>NC_000015.10:87804914-87956429 GCF_000001405.40 Homo sapiens
TTTGTGTGAGTGAGTCTATAGTTGTGTTTGGATGATGGCTGGTAAAAAAATGTGCCTATGAAGTTATATGCAGTGTGTGTATGTGTATGTGTATGTGTGTGTGTGTTCATGGGTGAGGAGCTGGATATGGATAGGTGGGGAGGCAAGCGGACAGTCAGGGCTATGTGCACACTTGTGTGTGGATATGCCGGGAGTGAAGTAGAGCCCTGGAGTCTCCTGATATAAACATTTGAGAGAATCTCTCCCTTAAGCACCTGCAGAGTGCAAATACAATAGACAGAGTTTATGATTTCATAGATTCTAAATAAATGGAGGGTTAAATCAAGTTCACCTGAAACAAAACAGCCTGTAATAAAGTGGCTGGTGAGACAGAATCTGGCAGAGGGCTGCTGATCATATCTTCCCGACCTATCCACAAAGGTTGGCTGCTTTCTCTCCCCAGCTCTTCAGCCCTGTCTGTTAGGGAGCAAGAGAACCTTGGTGGGGATTGCTGGGAAGAAGAAATGAATTCCGTCCTGGCCAGACAAACAAGGGGTCTGGGGATCCTTTCTATGGATATGAGAGGGTAAAACAGTCAAGAGGTAGTGGGATCCCCTCACAGTAGCCTCTGGGGAGTTCAGTTGTGAGGCTCCCAGCTGGCTGGAATCTTGAGAGCTTGTGGTTGTGGAGAGTATGAGAGGAGGAAGGGGAAGAATACCGTGGACTCTGTTTTATGATGGAAGTCTAAATCACCCCTGGCTGCTTTTATCGCAGAGGCCTGGATCTGCTGTTTGCCCTCAGTCATCCCTGCCTGTCTTATCCAGACTTCAGCAGAGTCTCTCAAGAACATGGGTCTCCTGGTCTCAAAGCTGTGGCTTCACAACAGAGCTCCCATTCTCAGCATGGGAAGGTTTTCTGTTGGTGGTTGTTTTGCTCTGCTTTTCGCCTGTAAGATCCGTTCCACAACATACAGGGAATTTCTTTTGATGGTATCTCTACATCCAATCAGTCATATCTCAGTGCATGTTTATAGGCCTCACAATGCCTGGGCTAAAGCCAGAATGTCTAAAGCCAGCCAGTATGTGAGGAATGGGGGCTTTGATGTGCAACCGTTGCATCTTGGGTGAGTCCAACAGGCCAGGCTCAGGTCCCTGGAGACTTGGGTGCCCCATACATCTCTCTTCCCTCTTTGTCACCATCTTAAGGTAGACTGGCCACTTCAGGCCTTGTTCCCTTTAATCAAATGCACTTTCAAAAGCCCAGATCTGATCATCTTACTCTGGCTCAAACTTTTTTCTCTGCAACAAAAACTCTAAAATCCTTTACTTGATATTTCAAGTCTTGATTGGGCCTTTAAAATGATATTCTGTTGCTGTCAACATCATTGTTGTTGTTGTTTTGTTTTTGTTTTTTAAATTTTTTTTTATTTCCTTAAGTTACTGGGGAACAGGTGGTGTTTGGTTACATGAGTAAGTTCTTTGGTGGTGATTTGTGAGATTTTGGTGCACCCATCACCCGAACAGTATACACTGCACCCTATTTGTAGTCTTTTATCCCTCACTCCCTTCCCATCCTTTCCGCCTGAGTCCCCAAAGTCTATTGTGTCATTCTTATACCTTGGCATCCTCATAGCTTAGCTCTCACATATCGGTGAGAACATACGATGTTTGGTTTTCCATTCCTGAATTTCTTCACTTTGAATAGTAGTCTCCAGTCTCACCCAGGTGGCTTTGAATGCCATTATTTCATTCCTTTTTATGGCTTAGTAGTATTCCATCATATATATATATATGCGCCACAGTTTCTCTATCCACTCGTTGATCGATGGGCATTTGGGTTGGTTCCACATTTTTGCAATTGTACATTTTGCTGCTATAAACATGTGTGTGCAAGTATCTTTTCCATATAATGACTTCTTTTTTTCTGGGTAGATACCCAGTAGTGGGATTGCTAGATCAAAAAGTAGTTCCACTTTTAGTTCTTTAAGGAATCTCCACACTGTTTTCCATAGTGGTTGTACTAATTTACATTCCCACCAGCAGAGTAGAAGCGTTCCCTGATTACCACATCCACACCAACATCTACTGTTTTTTGATTTTTTAATTATGGCCATTCTTGTAGAGGTAAGGTGGTTTTGATTTGCATTTCCCTGACCATAAGTGATGTTGAGCATTTTTTTCATGTTTGTTGGCCATTTGCATGTCTTCTTTTGAGAATTGTCTATTCATGTCCTTGGCCCATTTTTTGATGGAATTGTTTTTTTTTTTTTTTCTTGTTGATTTGTTTGAGTTCATTGTAGATTCTGGGTATTAGTCCTTTGTCAGATTCATATATTGTGAAGATTTTTTTCCACTCTGTGAGTTGTCTGTTTACTCTACTGACTGTTCCTTTTTTCATGCAAAAGCTCTTTAGTTAAGTCCCAGAAATAAATCTTTGTTTTTATTGCATTTGCATTTGGGTTCTAGGTCATGAAATCCTTGCCTAAGCCAATGTCTGGAAGGGTTTTTCCAATGTTATCTTCTAGAATTTTTAGAGTTTCAGGTCTTAGATTTAAGTCCTTAATCCATCTTGAGTTGATTTTTGTATAAGGTGAGAGATAAGGATCCAGTTTCATTCTCCTACATGTGACTAGTCAATTATCCCAGCACCATTTGTTGAAAAGGGTGCCCTTTCCCCACTTTATGTTTTTGTTTGCTTTGTTAAAGATCAGTTGTCTATAAGTATTTGGGTTTATTTCTGGGTTCTCTATTCCATTCCATTGGTCTATGTGCCTATTTTTTATACCAGAACCATGCTGTTTTGATGACTATGGCCTTAGAGTATAGCTTGAAATCAGGTAATGTGATGCCTCCAGATTTGTTCCTTTTGCTTAGTCTTGCTTTGGCTATGCAGGCTCCTTTTGGTTCCATGTGAATTTTAGAATTGTTTTTTCTAATTCTGTGAAGAATGATAGTGGTATTTTGATGGGAATTGCAGTGAAATTGTAGATTGCTCTTGACAGTACAGTCATTTTCACAATATTGATTCTACCCATCCATGAGCATGGGATGTGTTTCCATTTGTTTGTGTCATCTATGATTTCTTTCATTAGTGTTTTGTAGTTTTCCTCGTAGAAGTCTTTTACCTCCTTGGTTAGGTATATTCCTAAGCATTTTATTTATTTTTGCAGCTATTTTAAAAGGGGTTGAGTTCTTGGTTAGATTCTAAGCTTGGTCACTGTTGGTGTATAGAAGATCATTATTGTTTTTAACTACATTTACAGCCTCTCCTTTTGCACTGTTCAAACAAGTTTTTGCCTAAGGCTGTCGAGCACAGGCTAAGGAAAGAGAAAACAGAAAATTACACAGTAGAGGGAAGAACCTGTCCGTCTACATTTCCTTCTAATATTTTTAAAACTGTGTTGTTAAATTTTCAATCAATCTGTAATTTACCTTTATGAAGGATTTTTGTTTCAACATGGATAGCCAAATCTCTCTACCCTATTACAGTATTCATCCTTTTCCCATTGATTGAAAACTCTTAATCTATAATTCAAAAAAAATCCATATAGTCTTTTACAAGAATTACTATTTTATTCTTCTGATACCTTTATCTGTTCAAGTGGTGAGCAAATTAAAATCCACTGGTCAAATTTGGCCCACCATCCATTTTTTATACAGCCCATGAGCTAAGAATGATTTTACATTTTTTAATTGTTTAAATAAATCAAAAGAAGAATATTTCCTGAAACATAAAAATATATGAAATCAAAATTTCAGTGTCCATAAATAAAGTTTTACTGGAACACAGAACCTTCATTTGTTACATACTGTGTTTGGCAGTGTTTACACACCTGAGCTTAGCAGTTGTAACAGAAACCGCGTGACCCACAAAGTTGAAAATATCTACTCTCCTTACAGAAAAAGTTGGATCATCCCTGATTTATTCCAAAACCAATATAGCATTGCTCGAATACTCTAATTGATAAATGGTTCAATACCTACTAGGCCACAGAGGACTCAAGTTTCATGGGACCTAGAGCTGATATAATTTGCAGGTCATCTTAAAAAAGAATACCGAATTACAGTAACACAATTAAGTATAAAAGTAAATACTTATTTAGAATAAGAAAAAGATCACAATAAATTACACATTCTTAAAGGTTTTTATGAAACACTTTTTTAATTTTTTTGAAGTTTTAAAAAACTTTTTAAACATTTTTTGTTTAAAATACTACAAACATCATACAATTCAGAAAAAATAATATACTATCCATATTAACTAACTGCCGGACACACTTCTGCTATACTTTTTTGTCCTTCCATTTTTAGGCTAAACAGAACTTGTCACTTCCCTCAACATGATAATGATTTTGTAATATCGTCTACAGGGAGAATAAAAAGTTGGTCTAACTTTCCTTTAACATAGTTAATTAAAATGTACGTTTTTGTTTTACTATAGATAGCTTTATAAAGTTTCTTTTAGCATCATACATAGCTATTGGTATTGCCATGTAATGTTTTAAGATTTTTGCCAAATTTGGAAAAGCCTCTAGCCAATTTCACTTATACCTGAACTGTAAGGTTTTGGAGCCTTCCAAGTTTTCTCGTGCTGTAATTAATCTGATACACTCTGAACTGACAACACTCGTTAAGCATTTTCATGTCAATACTCTTGTTCTAGTGGTAAATTATAAGTGTAAGTTATTTTTGTTGACAGTGACATCTTGTGTCAAATGGGCAATAAATGTCAATATTTTCCCAGTGTGTTTCTGTGATCCACTCATCTTCATTATTTGGCTTATCAAACGATCTATGTGCTTATTCATAACTTCTATTTAAAACATCTCTCTCTCTCATAGATAATTACCACTTTTGATGTAACCAGTGTTTTTTTTTTTACTATTTTCTCCTCCATGTCTGCATAATTTATGTTAATTTTATAACTCATCTTTATCATTTTGGTTTCCCATTTCATTTATTCTTTGACTTATTTCTCTACTCTTTAATAATAAATTTTAAAATGACAAAAGAAGCTACTCTTTGCATCCATCTAAATCAGGAGTCTATTATTTATGTCTTATTGAACTGTTCCAACACTCCTTCCAAATTACAGTTAAAAGAGTGTATTTGAGCTTTATCAACTTTACAAATAAATTTTTCATCCACTTGCTTTCTGGTTTCTCTCTTTAAAATGAATTTTGAGTTCTGGAAATATCATTGTAAGCCTATAGCACGGCTTTAGCAATGTGTTTAGGTCCTGGCCAAGGGGAAGTTGAGTTTGGGATAGATGTATGGAGTTTCCATCATTTCTGTGTATGACTTGGTTAATACTAAGCCATCCAACGTAGCCAAAGCCCCCAGCAACCGCCATGGTGCCACCACCCATCCTGAACCCATTCTGCCACTACTCCAGCATGGGACCAAGTTCAAGTGTGATTGCATGGAAGGCTGAGCCAAAAAATAAATGTGCTTGGGAAATCTTATTTTGGCAACTTTTACAAAAACATAAGACCATAACATGTCAGCACATAGCCACATGCCTCCCTGGTCCTAGAGAGGGGCCAAGCAAGTGAAGAGTCCTGATATTCAAGTTTGTTAGTTCCATGAGAAATCCAGCTCTGCTAGTGGGGCATGTTTCCCTTCATTGTCTATTCTCAAAGTTGCCTTGGGTCTACATTTTCCCTCTTTTCTATATACTTGATTGTCAATGTGTCAAGTTCCATGAAAAACCTTTAGGATTTTATTGGGATTGCATTGACATTATGGATAAATTTGGGTTCTGTTCTCATCCTTCCAACACCACATCTCATCAAGAATGAGTTATATTTGTTCACTCCTTCAGGCCTTTTTTACATCTTTCAATAAAGTTTTGCATTTCTCACAATATATGATTTTCACTTACTTGCTCTCTAACTATCTATTTTTGTTTGTGGATCTTAAATCATATTACTAAATTTCTTGTTAGTTCTAATATTTGCCAGTAGCCTAGGCAGAGGATTATATTGTCTGCTCATAAAAAGGATATTTTTGTCTCTGCTTCCCTGATATTTATAACCTTTCTTCTTTCCTGTCTTCATCATATAGGGCTTGAAGTACAGTGCTAATGTTTCCAGCAGATTCCTTAATCTTGTGAAGGGAGTTGCTCTCTATTTCTGGTTTCCTAAGAGGCTTCTTTTGATTAGTGAGTTTTTTATTTGTTTGAAATGGATGTTGAATGAAAACACATATTTGTTTTTTATGTGCATTGGCTTAAGCAAATAACTTTTCCTTTGTCTATTAGTGCAGTTATTTACGTGAGTAATTTTTCTAATACTTCTTTGACTTTTAATTTTTTCTTAGTAAAGGTAGATTTTCCTTTTAACATTTCAGTGGAATAAATTTGATAATATATCATTTAATATATTTGTGTTTATTTTTACAAATAAGACTGAATTACTATTTCTTTCCCACATGCTATCATTATCAAGTTTTGGTATTGGAATGAAGTGAGCCTCTTAAATGAGCTATCTGCCTTTCTATATCTTTATATTCTCTAGAAAAATTTGTGTAATACAGGAATTACCTTTCTTTTAAATGTTTTCTAGGACTAATTTACAAAGTTGCCTAGGCCTAGTGTGATTTTTAGAGATAAATCTCTGACTACCTTTAAACTTTCTTCTATATTTATTCTATACTTGGATTTCTTATTTCATAAGCCAATGTGGTAAGGAATATTTTCTTGAAAAATCATATGTATTGTATCTATATTTGCAACACAATTAGTATTTGCTTATAATTTTCAATTCATCTGCAGCTTTGTCTCCTTTTTAAATGCAATTGTTTATTTATGTCATAACTCATCTTTCATTAAGTAAATGCCAAAATTTGTGTATTTCATCGGTCCTTTTAAGAAACAACTTTAGGTTTTTTGACCAAATTTACTTATTGTGTTGCTTGACTTTCTTTTAATTAATTTATTACTCCATGGAGGAGGTAGAGTCGTTAGTATTCTTTTCTTAGCTTCTTGAGGGAGAAACTTTGTTTACTAAGATTTGATTTCTTGCTAACTAATAAATGCACTTAAGCTACAGATTTTCCTCTGGAACTTATCTGGCCACATCTCACAGGTTTTCTACTTAATGTTCCTGTTGTGGCTTTATTCTAGTCTTGGAAATGCAAAAATATTTTCTAAACATGATACAAATCATTTAAGCATTAAGAGGAAAAATTGATAAATTTTACTACATCAGGCACAGTGGCTCACACCCTCAAACCCAGCACTTTGGGAGGCCAAGGCAGGTGGATCACCTGAGTTCAGGAGTTCAAGATCAGCCTGGGCAATATGGGGAAACCCCGTCTCTACTAAAAAGGCAAAAAATTAGCCAGGCATGGTGGTGTGCCCCTGTAATCCCAGCTACTTGGAAGGGTGAGGTGGGAGAATCGCTTGAACCTGGCAGGTGGAGGCTGCAGTGAGCCGAGATCACATGACTGCACTCCAGCCTGGGCAACAGAGCGAGACTGTGTCTCAAAAAAAGAAAATTAATTAACTAAAAAACAGTTTTACTACATCAATATTAAAATATTCTACAGTTTAAAAGACAAAAACAGACTTGAAAATAATATTTTCTTTATATAGAATAATTAAATATCTATATTAATTTAAATAAAAATAAATAGTAATTTCAATACGTCAGTAAAAAACAAACCAATATAATACTGGACAGAATTTTACAGAAAAGGAGATAAAATAAGTATTCAGTAAATACCCCAAGTAACCAGCTAAATGAAAACAAAAGCAACAGAATGAAACTGTTTCTCATTCAATAGATTTGCAAAGGGGGAATCCCAGGAAGGAGAGAATAAGAGAGGTAGAGCCTGAAAGTTTGTGTGTAAAGAAAATTCAACAGCCATTCAGTATAAAAACTCTCAGCAATCTTGGACTAGAAGTGAGCTTTTTCATCTGATAAGGGGCATTACGAAACAACCAAAAATTAACATCATCTTAACAATGAAATAGTGAATGCTTCCACCTTAAGATCAGGAAAAAAGGCCCATTCAGATTACCTCTAGTCAACACTATACTAGGTGTCTTAGCCTTTGGACTAAAGTAAGAAAATAAACTAAAAGCATAAAAGCAAAAAATAAGTAAAAGTGCCTCTATTTCTATATGGCAATACATATAAAGCCTCAAGCGATCCATAAACTAACTAGTTAAACTGAATGAATTCAGTAAGATCACAAAATAAAGGTAATATACAAAAGTCAATTGTAGATTTATATTCCAGCTGCAAACACTTAGAATACAAAATCCAAACTTTAAATTACAAGTACAGCAAACTGTGTAAAACACTTAATAATAGATTTTAAGAAGATGTGCAAGATTGTACATTAAAAACTAAAAAATAGAAAAATTAAAGATTTAAATAAATGAAAAGGTATAATATGTTTATGTATTAGAAGACTCAATATTATTAAGATGTCAGTTCTTCACAAATTAATCTATAAATATAATTCTCAATCAAAAATCCCAGCAGGCTATTTTTGTAAGAATTAACCAGCTGTCTTTAAAATTTAAATGGAAATGCAAAAGACATAGAACATCCAAAGCAATCTTGAAAAACACAAACTTTGAAATTCTTATACTACTGATTTCAAGACTTATTATAAAGCTTCAGTAATGAAGAGAGTGTGGAATTAGTGAAAGATGGACATATAGACCACTGATCAGAATAGGAAGTCCAGAAATGGACCCAAATGTATATGGTCAATTGATTTTTGACAGATTTACTACGGGAATTCAATGGAGAAAGAATGGTCTTTTTCCCAAATGGTGCTAGAGCATTTGGATACATATATTCAAAACAAAAATGAACCTCAATCTTAATCAATAGAACAAAACAGAGAGCCCAGAAATAAATTCACATTTTATAGTCACTTAATTTTTGACAAGGGAGACAAAGAAATTAAATAGTAAGAGAAATGTCTTTTTAACAAATGATACCAGAATAACTAGATGTCCATATAGGAAAAAATGGATCTCAACCCCTGCCTCACAACAAACGCAAAAATTAATTCAAGATTTATCATAGACACAAATGTAAAAGATAAAATCATAAATATTTTAGAGGAAAACATAAAAGATTTGAGAATAGGCTAAAGTTCCTTAATTCACAAAAAACAATTGCCATTAAAAATTGATTTCATCGAAATTAACAACTGCTTATCATAAGACACTATTAAGGAAATGCTTTGACAAGCTTCAGATTGGAAGTAAATATTTCTAAATCATTTATCTGACAAAGAACAGGTATCCTGAATATAAATATACTCTACAACCAATAATAAGAAGACAAGTCATTAAAAATGGAGGAAATATTTTAATACTTCACAAAATAAGATGTATGTATGACCAAAAAGCAGATAAAAAAGTGCTTAACATCATTAGTCATCAGAAAAATGTGAATTAAAATCATAATTAGACACCTGTACATACTTGTCAGAATGATTACTGTTAAAAATGACTGACAACACCAAATATTGGCAAGACTGTGGAACAATGGAAACTCTTATACAATGTTAGTGAGAATATAAAATGGTACAATAACTTTGGTAAAGGTCTTTCAGTTTCTTATAAACATGCACCTACTTTATGACCCAGTAATTCCACTACTAGGTATTTACATAACAGATGTTAAAATAATATACAGAACAAGACTTGTACAATGACAGTCACAGCAGCTTTATTCATAATAACCCCAAACTGGAAGGAGCCCAGGTGTCCATCAATGGGAGAATGGATAAATACACAAGGATATATTCATACATCGGTGCAATACCCCACAATAAGAAGGAGTGGATTACTGATGCCCACAACATCCTGGATAAATCTCCAAGACATTATTCTGAGTGGCAGAAGTCTCTAACAAAAGAGACCATACTCTGAGATTCCATTGATGTAAAGTTCAAGAACAGGCAAAATTAAGCCATGGTGGAAAGTAACTAAAACAGTCATTAACTCTGGAGGACAGTAAAAATGGTGGACTGAGAAGGGAAATTTCTGAGATGACAGCGAAGTTCAGAACCTTTATAGAAATCTGGGCATCATAAAATAGATACAGGTTTATAAAAAACTGACAGACTTTGTTCCAAAGATGTTGTACCATTTTTACTTCCACTAGCATTGTACGAGAATTTCAGTTGTTCCAAAATCTTGCCAAGTTTGTTGTTTTCAGTCATCTTAAATTATAACCATTCTGGCCAGTATGGGCAAGTAACTAATTTTGGTTTTGTATATGCATTAGTCAAAATTCATGTGCCCTCAAGATTCGTGCATTTCATTGTATGTAAATTTTATTTCAAAGGAAGACTATACCGTAAAGAAATGTTGAACTGGAATTGACAATATAAATGCTGAAATATTGATGCGAGAGTATACTGATACTGTACTTGACTTTGCAATGCACCAGAAATGAGATGAATTAATAGATGGATAGAGAGATGGACAACTAGGCAGAGATCTGATAAAGTGAATATACAGATTGTAATAGTAGAAGCTGAATGGTGGGTATAAGGGTATTCTTTCAATTTTGAGATTCTTTCAGCTTTGCTAAGTGTTTGAAATTCTTTCACAGTAAAATACTAGAAAAAATGAAGAAGCTTCCAACTCTTTAAATGTCTTAAGCTTGAATCTTACAGGAGCCCTCACTGCACCAACCCAGTCAGGAGTCCCCCTACAAATGAGGGAGTAGAGCCCCACGTGTCTCCCAAAGCTGTTATAAATTCAGGCAAAATGGTTTCTTCCTTTCCGTGGCCCTATTCCTTTTTAAAATGAGTCAGAATACAATGCTTTCCTTTAATGCTTAAGTGTTCACTTATGCCTTCCAAGTCATAAGAATAGTAAAGCTGAGACACAAACAAATTTGGAACTTGACAAATGCCTTTCTGTCAACAAAAAGGGAGAAGCTAGAGCCTGAGATATTATGTGCTTTGACAGAACTAGTCAATTATAGTTTTCAGAAGTAATAACCTGTAGTCGTCAAAAAAATATATCGGATGTACATGGAGAGCCAGAGTTTACCTCCAATCCATCTATTAATGCTGTCAGGCTGAACAATCTGCTTCTGGGAGTTAAAAGTCTTTGTAAAGGGATTGTCTGTAGCATGGGATCTGGAGATGGCTGACAGGAGAGCTGCAGGTAGGAGCTTGAGTTAGAGAGAAACATAGTACTGAGAGAGGAGTTGAGAGCCAGTGTGATTAAGGTCACCACAAAATTGGCTTCAAAGCCTCTCTAACATGATCTTTGGTTGGCTTGCTTTGGAGTCCACAAGCCCCAGATTTTTCTGTTCAGTGTCAATGTCAGGCACTTGTCTTGTTTGGTTAAAGGCAGCACAAAAATGCATAACTAAACATGAGTTCCTCTGGATGTGTTTGCTAAAAGTCTGTCACAGTGAGAAATTACTACATCAGAAAAAAAAGTTGTTGAACAAGCATCACACTAATTTTCTTGTTTGAAAAGCAATCATCGGAGTAGCAATAATGGTATTAGGAACTCCTATGTATTGGGTCCCATGGGACCCAGTGGGATGTGCTGCATCATGCACTTTGCCTACACTACCTCCAAACCTCAAAACTTACCATGGATGTCAGCTTCACACATTGGAAAACCAAAGCTCAAAGTGGGTTAGCACTCCACATCACCCAGCAGGTAAGCAGTGGGGCCAGTTTGAATCAAATCTGCCTGTCTCCAAAATCCATATTCTTTCTATTTCGCACCCTTCGTGCATCCTTTGACCATTCTACTTCCATACTATATTTGTGTCCACCCCACTGAAGACCGGGGATTCGGGTGGTCTCATTATTTAAATAGTACCACCAGCCATGTCATTCACCATTGTCTTGAAGGCAACCTCAGGCCCCAATATACCAGGCTTGTACCCAGAAAGCCAAATTGAGACAGGGCCTCCCTGGACTGCAGGGCAGAACTCAGCCCTCCTATCTCTAGAAAATGCAAGATGTGTCTTTTACCTTGAAGGCTTGGGGTGAGAGCTGGCGCAAGAGCTTCCTGGGTATAATGGGCATGTTCCAGGAGTTTCATACCAGTGAAGTGAATCGCTCTGTGAAGCATCCCACTCTTACACTACCCACAGTCCCATGAATTAAACACACAGCGATATGCAGGTCAAGGTCGTGGTCATCTACGATGGCTGGATATGACTCCCAAGTGAGTCAGTCATTAGCTCAGGAAATTCCCCAAGTCCTGTAACCTAACTTGACTTAACCAACTACATTTTCTTGGAGTTTTGCTCCATTATTAAGACTCCATGAGATTAGCAGTCTTCAGTTTCACTTTGAAGTAATGATCTTCAGCAATCAGTTTTTCCTAATTATATTAGCAAATTTCTAGAAATATGCACTCTTTAAATAAGCTTCAGCCAGCACAATATTGAGGACAAGGATGGTGACATGCAACACATCGAGTGGGATGAATCCAGTTCTGAATTCAGTTTTCACTGGGTGCCTGCTCTGTGCCAGGCATAGTGCTAGATGCTTTACCTCTAGTATTTTATTTAACCTTCATAACAGCTATGCAAGGCGAATGTTATTACCCACATTTTACAGTAGAGATGGAAACTGAGAGGATGTCACTTACCTAGCTAATATATGGCAGAATCTAGATTCAAGTCCAGGTTTTACTTCCTCCAAGTGCAATGCTCTTTCCAACACATGCTTTGTTTTTAGATCGGCTAACCCTGGAAATTAAAAACTCTTATTTAAAGGGTTTAGTTTTTATGGCTTACATCAAGCAAGTGGTTATAGAAGGCCAATCCACTATGGCAGTGGTTCCTAACTGGGGGGAGTTTTGCTTTCCAGGGGACATTTCACAAGGTCTTGAAACATTTTTGGTTGTCACTACTGGGAAGGTGCTACTGGCATCTAGTGGGAGAGCCCAGGGATGCTGTTAAACATCCTATAATGCACAGGACAGCACCCAGCACCCCAACAACAAAGAACTATATGACTTAAATGTTAAGAGAATCAGTATGGAGAAACCCAGACTATGGTATAAAGAGATAGGCCATGAGGGAGGGAAGAGTTGGAGAGAATTAGGAATGTATCTGAATTAATACTTACAAATATTCACTATAGCATGAGAGAAGATGTTATCTGTATCTATTCGTCTAACACTGTTTCTTTTCTAGATTCAGAAGTATTATGAAGAATCAAAGTTTGAGAACAATGATATATCATTAATGTTACAAAGCATAAACAACACAACCAGTCACTTAACTTTTTAGGTCCCACAACCCACTTACTGTTTGGGGATTTTCAGAGCTGAACCCCACCATGGAGTTCTCAACCTGCAGGCTATGAGACCTGAGGGTGAACAATGAAGCGAGACAGTCACACAGAGGACTTACTGCCAAAAATCTGCAAACCTGTACCTGTGTATACACGTGCTGCAGTTTTCCAAATGTTTTTGGTTGATGTCGTGATCAATAAAAGACAGACTCATTTGAAAACACTACTGAATAGGTTCACATTACTTATCTTTTATGATAAATGTATTAAAGAATAAAAGTACTGGCCTGGCGTAGTGGCTCACGCCTGTAATCCTAGCACTCTGGGAGGCCGAGGCGGGTGGAGCACTAGGTCAGGAGATCGAGACCATGCTGGCTAACACAGTGAAACCCCGTCTCTACTAAAAATATAGAAAATTAGCTGGGTGTGGTGGCGGGTGCCTGTAGTCCCAGCTACTTGGGAGTCTGAGGCAGGAGAATGGCATGAATCTGGGAGGCGGAGCTTGCAGTGAGCGAAGATTGCACCACTGTACTCCAGCCTGGGCAACAGAGCAAGACTCCGTCTCAAAAAAAAAAAAAAAAGAGTTTAATTACTATTCTAGTGAATGGACAGCATTGTGACTATGGAACTAAAAGCCCTTTGTAGAAGTCTATAAACCAAAGTAGAGCATGAGATTTCACTGGACCCAATATGGAAACTACCACTGGTGCTGGATAGCTGGATAGCTGTCAGCCTTGCGGGAGAGCATGCAGAGTTGATATAAGTTGGTGAAGCAATTTTTCTGATTAATTCTGATGTCAATCAGACTTTAACATGATAACCAGATCTGGACATTCCAAGCAGTTGCCCTTCCAAATTCCCAAAAGGACTCCATGCCTGGTCTGTAGGACAGAGGGTGGGGCTGCACTACACCTCCATTAATGGGCTCAGCCCTGGACCCCAGTCAACACAAGTCACATCATTCCCCCATAGAAAAAGGGTCCTCCTAACCATTTCCTGGTGGGAGCTTTATTTCCTGAGAATAAATTTGCCTGCCCCCCAATTGTATGAAGGTGAGAATGTAATTTAGAGATAGAAGAAAAGAAAGAAACTAGACTTGGAGATAATATCCTCACATAAACTTCACAGTAAAAACCAATCTGGTGGTTTCATAAGACACGTGAAACTTTAATCCTACCTAACATGTTCCTACAAAATTTTGCTAATTATCTGCCAAACGTGCAAGTGGTTTGGAAACTTACCACTGACATACAGAACGCTGCTCAAAGCCAGTGTCTGTGTGAAGCCCTATGTGAAAACACATGTACACATCCCCCAGTGCCACTGGGGCCATATTGGGATAATGGACAGCTCAGGCTCTGCAGTTAGATAGACCTGGATCAACTTCCAGCTCTAACTTGGGCTGGCTGTGTGATCACCAACCTACTACTCCACCCTACTACTACTCCAAGCCTCAGTCTTTCTCCACTCTAAAATAGGGCTGATAAACCTATGCACAGGGCTTTTGTGAAGGTAAGAAAAAGACAATGTGTATTAAAGCCAGTGTCCTCAACCTTTAAAAGTTGTTCAGGAGTCAAACTTTCCATACAGAAAAAATACAAGGAGCTCACCCATGCTACAAGAAGGATGAAGTCCAGCTCGATATCCTTGGTTCCCAGGGTTCTTGGAGCCAAGGGAGGGGCCACTTAGGTTGCACTGTCATTTATTTTCTTTTCTTTCTTTTTTTTTTTCTTTTTTGAGGTGGAGTTTCACTCTTGTTGCCCAGGCTGGAGTACAATGGCGCGATCTCAGCTCACTGTAACCTCTGCTCCCCGGGCTCAAGTGATTCTCCTGCCTCAACCTCCAGAATAGCTGGGATTACAGGTGCCCGCTTTTTTTTTTTTTTTGTATTTTCAGTAGAGATGGGGTTTCACCATGTTGGCCAGGCAGGTCTCGAACTCCTGACCCCAGGTGATCCACCCACCTTGGCCTCCCGGAGTGCTGGGATTACAGGCATGAGCCACCGCGCCTAGCTCACACTGTCACTTCTTACACCATATTCATATTTCTGCTTCTTCTATGCTCTCCTTTGTGGTGGATTCCCAGTCATCCTGCCAGATGGCTCAAACTTATAGCTGTCCTCCTCTCACTGCCCAACTCTGCCTCAGTCTGAAACAGCCTTTTCTCCTTATTCCTTAAGGGGTTCTCAACATTGGCACTGCTGATATTTGGGGCTGCATAATTGTTTGTTGTGAGGCTGTCCTGTGCAATGTAGGATGTTTGGAAACATCTCTGGTCTCCATCCATTAGATGGGAGTAGCATCCCTCACCCAAATCATGACAACCAAAAATGTCTTCAGACATTACCTAATGGAGGACACAATTGTGGAACTCCTTCCCCCACCCCTTCCACTGATAACCATCAAGGTAACATTGCAAACGTGTTAGACTATGGCATAAAGGCAACCACAGGTACATATCACAAGGCCTTCTGTCTCCTGTGTCCGTGACTACTTCTACTGAGCCATTCTCCATCTTTCCTCTTAGGCAGACACTATCCCCCATTCACTCCTCTTAGGCCTGTTGCTTTATTCAGCAGTAATTTCACTCTTTCTTAATCTCAGCCCACACTTACCTACCCAAGCCCATAATTCCTGACCATCAACCCCAACGAAGTGCTTTCCTCAAAAAAAAAAAAATAAGGCTCCTTTTTTCTCTTTAACAGAATGTTTGCACAGTTGGGAGCAGCAAACTCATGTTGCCTCCAGCTTAAAAATAGCCACCTCCCTCAACAAGTGTAAACCACCTAGCACACTGCTTGGTACAGAGTAGATGATGGCTGTATGTATGAGGGCTGTTAACGTCGTGACTGCTGTCACTGTTCCTAATAGCGGGAATGCATGTCCCTTAGGATTCTCAGTTATCCCACTATATGTCCTTAGACGAGGAACTTACTCAGTTCTTCTTGACTCTGGAATTAGCTTGTGGCCGTTAATTAAAAGCAGGCCTCTTTCTATCCCTGTATCATTGAGAATCACAGGGAATGATAGCGTCCAATAATAAAAACGTCTTCTGCTCAATACCTAAAGTCATATACTCCGTAATTCCTACTGAGGGTCAAGGAAGTATGGTGGGGGAGTCGTAGGGGGAAGAGAGTGATGGATTAGAGTGCAGGGAGGTCACCTCGTGGGACCATATCCTGGCAATTGAATGAGGAAGGGGTTTAGCACCCCTTGCACCTCCAAAGTCCCATTTCCCTCTTTTGTCGAAGCTCGCTGAAGCCAGCCAAGTGCAGACTGCTGATGCTATTGCTTGATTTTAAGGCCTCATTGTCCTTGCCTTATAGTTTCCAGTTGCACGAGTTTAAGTGTCTCCCTTTGCCAATAACATTTCCCCTGATGCTTATGTCCTTTTCCATCTGACTTGTATTGATCGTTTCCTCCCAGTCTCAAGTTGAAAAAGCCACAGTAGCTTGTGTCCCCATCCTGGCCAGCAGCCTCAATATCAGCCCTATCTAAGCCTTGCCAAGACAGATCCAGATTCAGCCTCCAACCAGGCTGTTCTGTGTGAAGATCTTTGACCTCACACCTGCCTGGTCACTGATCAAAAAATATCAGAGCTGGGAGGGGTAAGAAGAAGCATCTAATTCTATCTGCTCATTTAACAGGTGAGAGAAGAAAGATCAAGAAAGGTATAAGGGCTTGCCCAGTGCCATTCAGATAGCACAGAGCAAGGACTTGAACTTGGGGCTTTTTTTTATTCCTGATTCACATCAGAATAGTTTCTTCTACTCTTTATTTCACTTTAGAAGCAAAGAACCATCCTTACTCTAGAATAATCCTATTTGAGGCTTCCCCAGTGCATACTGCCTTCTTGAGGTAATTTGGTTGTCTGTTCCAAAGGCCTCACATGTGTTTGGGGTCCTTAGGGTTTTGACCATACTGGTGGCAAGCCCAACATGCCACCAGTTCCAACCAAGGCCCCTTTTTGGCTAACACAACCGCCAGAGCCAAGGCACCTCTGTATGATGCCAGAGGCTTGTGGATGGTTGCTGTTTGTGAATGGCTGGGATGCTCTGCCTCACTTTGCACCAAAGGCGTGTTTCTGAATAATTGTATCTATTCAACTGTTGCACATTTTACATACTTTGGATCCAAATTTCCTTTAAACAAGTTCACACTAAGGGGTAGCCCTGGTGGCACCCAGGGTGGAGGAGGCCTCCACAGTTAACATAGATGTTTTTTAATGAAATCACATTTTCTGGCTGAGTGCGGTGGCTAATGCCTGTAATCTCAGCACTTCAGGAGGCCGAGGCGGGTGGATCACTTGAGGTCAGGAGTTTGAGCCCAGCGTGGCCAACATAGTGAAACCCCATCTCTACTAAAAATACAAAAATTAGCTGGGCATGGTGGCCACTGTCTGTAATCCCAGCTACTCAGGAGATCGAGGCAGGAGAATTGCTTGAAGCTGGGAAGCGGAGGTTGCAGTGAGCCAAGATCATGCCACTGAACTCCAGCCTCAGCAACAGAGCAAGACTCCATCTCAAAAAAAAAAAAAAAAAGGAAAAGAAATCACATTTTCTTGTTGACTTTGGTCATAATTCCCTTGAAGCACTAATACTGCTTCAATTCTAGTTAGCCTTTCATTGGTGGTGGGTTTTAACACTTTGTTGATAGTTTTCTATTACTCTCTTTTCCTAAAATAAGCAAGTTGTGATCTATCAGGGCACATTTAAATACCTGAGAAGGAACGTTGTTGAAGGGCAGACTGTTATTAGGGGGCTGCTAGTCAAACATAACACGGTGGCAAATCCCCAGGTAAGGCAGAGACTCATGGTGTAATAAAAATAATTGCCTTTTAATTGGCTTGTTTGATAACTGTGGGTTCTTTTTTTTCCATATCAGTCTTCCTTGCAACGCAGTGTAGAACACTGGGAACAATCCATAGAGGAAATTCAGTCATTGAGGTTTGACCCTCTGCCATTTATTTGCTTGTCATTTAGGGAAAACCATTTAACCTCTCTGTACCTCAGTATTCCAATCTGTAAAATGAGAGTGTCATGACAACAAAATGACCACACAGCTTCCCTCCCTCTTTTCTTCTTGTCTTGTCTTTTCTTTTTCAGGGTCAACTGGCCAGGCAAATGGTGCCAAAAGCAACCAGTTTGAGGACGGCTAGCCCCAACTGCTGCCCTGTCTCCTGTTAAGGCTTATTGGTGCCACTGTATGACCCATTGCTGGGCTTCAGGGCAATCACACCTCCCATAGCGTGTCTTTTTCTCCCTGTGAGAGGGTCCTATATCCCTGCTGTAACTAGCATCAGCCTCAAAGCACCTGCAGAACTCCCAAACATAAGAGGCAGCTTCAAGGTCCCCAGCCTTTGCACACACTGTGCCCGCCACCTAGAGCACCTTCCCCTTTGTCCCTCCTGCAAACCCCTTTGATGATTTCAAGAAAATTCAACACAAGCACCATCTGTTCTATGAAGCCTACCCTGACCAGTGGTCTTTCGTGTCAGACTTGACTCCTTCCCCACCTAGGCCTTAGGAACAGGGTCCAGTCATTGGTTCTATAAACCTGTATTAAACTTTCCCGTCAACACATCTGTTTCTTTAATTAGTTAGTGAGATCCTTATGGAGAAGGACCTTGCATTATTCAACATGTATCTCCAGCATCTAACACAATGCCTGAAAGAGAGTAGATGTTCAGAAAATTTTGTTAAATAAATTAATGAATGAATAAATTAGTATTACACAGACATTAATGACTAGGAGGGTGTACTGAGTGGAATAGCATCCCCTTAAAATTCATGTCCACCCAGAACCTATAAATGTTTCTTTATTTAGAAATAGAATCTTTACAGATGTAATTTTTTAAAATTTAATTTAATTTAATTTTAAGCTCCAGGATACATGTGCAGGATGTGCAGGTTTGTTACATAAGTAAACGTGTGCCATGGTGGTTTGCTTCACCTATCAACCCATCACCTAGGTATTAAGCCCAGCATGCATTAGCTATTTATTCTGATGCTCTCCCTCCTACAGATGTAATTAAGTTAAAATGAAATCATACTGGATTGGGGCGAGCTCTAATCCAGTGACAGGAGTCCTTGTAAGAGAAGGCAAATCTGAACACAGACAGGGAGGAGAGCCACATGAGGGCAGAGGCTGAGATTGGAGTTATGTCATCACAAGCTAAGAAGTGCCAATGGTTGCTGGCAGTCACCAGAAGCTAGGAGAGGCAAGGAAGGAGTCTGCACTAGAGCTTTTAGAGGGAGCGTGGCCCTGCCGACAACTTGATTTTGGAATTGTGGCTCCAAAACTATGAAAGAATAAATTCCTCTTTTTTTTTAATGTTTTGTTTTGTTTTGTTTAAATGGAGTCTATTCTGTAATCCAGGCTGGAATGCATTGGTGCAATCTCTGCTGACTGCAACCTCTGCCTCCTGGGTTCAAGCAATTCTCTTGCCTCAGCCTCCCAAGTAGCCGGGATTACAGGCGCACGACACCACACCTGACTAATTTTTGTATTTTTAGTAGAGCCAGGGTTTCACCACATTGGTCAGGCTGGTCTTGAACTCCTGACCTCAAGTGATCTGCCCGCCTCAGCCTCCCAAAGTGCTGGGATTACAAGCATGAGCCACTGAGCCTGGCCCAATTCCTGTTGTTTGTAGCTACCCAGTTCGTGATAATATGTTACTCCAGCCGCAGGAAACTAACACATAGGGAAAGGGCATGTGGATGTGTGGAAAGAAATTCTCCTCCAATATAGTTCCCCCTGATTGGATGGACTCCTGACCACATCTTTTCTCTGAGTTCCACTCTCACTCACTTCCTCTCATTTGCTTTTCCATTTTTCCTCTTCATTAATAACTCGCAACACCTTTCCACATTCCCCACACCATACATATCTTCCCAATCTCTCCTTAATACCCAGTCATTCAATAAAGACTTATACAGCCCAGATAGCTACTGGGCCCTTAACAATGGGTCACACAGACATGAATAAGATTGACCTTTCCTGGAGAGTTTCTAGTTTAGGAAGATTTTATTTCATGGATGTCTCCCAACATCCCCATAAAGTATTTATATTTATGTTTATGTTTACATTTATAAATAGCCCCATTTTAAAGCTGAGAAACTTGAAACTTACATTAGTCCGTTTGATTTTCTCAGATCACAGGAGTAATAAAAAATAAAAAACAGAGCTGGTATTCAAACCCACGTCTATCTCACATCTAAAGGCCACTCTTTCCCTCTTTCCACTGCAGCACTCAACCTGGACTGTCCCACCAGCCCAGCAGGGAAACGTCCAGGGAGAAGACGAGATGTTCAAGAATACCTCTCTGTTATTCAAAGTTCCTCCTTCTATGTTAAAGCTTAGGAGACAGCACAGACTTCAGGACGCATCTGCCTGGACCAAATTCTGGCATCCTTGTAGGTGATCTTGGACATCTAACTTAATCTTCTTGGACTTTTAATTCTCCCTTTGGACAGTAACTACCTCCTGTAGATATTGTGAGAATTCAATGAGTTATGACATGCAAAACTTGTATTATGGAATGTAGTAAGAACTCAATAAATGTTAGCTCTATTACTATGACTAGCTAGCTCTCTAATATCATCATTATTATTTTTCTCAACTTCCAATTCCAGTTCCTCTTCTCCACCCTCATGTTGCTCTAGCCAGTGCATTGTACACACCATCCTGAGAAAACCCAGCATTCTGAGTTCCAGTCCATCCAATGCCCAGCTCCAGGCAGTTATATTATTCGGAACTATGTGATATCACATATATAAAATTGTTTCTGACCTACAAAAATGGGACTTTCATATAGTTTGATCTAATAGACTCCAACTCCTTTTGTCCTTAAAATGGAAAGACATAAACAAAGGTATCTTGCTAGCCTCATAGAAGAGAAAGTTTAAAGTGATTTTTTTAAAACTTTAAATCCAGCTGGAAAAAGCTATGGAAGTGTATGCCTTTTGTAGTTTCTCTGACAAGTAAGAAGCAGGAGCCCAGGAAATGGATTCCCTCTGGGAGGCAATAGGCCCCGGAGCCCACCTCTGTGATGTGAGGCAAGATGGGGAGTGACGAGTGAGCCCGCCTTCCACCTCTGTGTGCAGACAAAGAGTCTCTGATGGAATTTGGCCCTGAACACAATAGTGAGCACTTTGGCTTCTAAAGAACAAGGAGGAGGATTCTTGAAAGATCGTGAGACAGAGAACAAGAGGAACTGTTCTCAGAACATCCAGACTGTCCTCTTCAGCTCCCTTAAAGAGAGCCTTCAGATTGACTTAGGGCAGGTGGGCAGGGCGGCTGTCTCAGGCTCCTAACTCACCTCCTTTGAAGCCTTGCTTAGATCTGCTCCTTCTTCCAGAAAGCCCCGCCTGCCTCCCTCCCCTGTGTTAACACCTCATTAGCACCCTGCCAGCAAGGAAATCTATTTAAACAGCTCTTGCTGACACAGCATGCCTCCCCTTCGCATGGAGGATTCTCTTTCAATCCCCTTCTGATGGCACAGTTGAGCATGGGCCCTGCCCAGCTCGGCTCCAAGATGCCTGCTCTCTGATCTCACTCTGCCCAAGCCCTGTCAGTGCCACTGTCTCTCATGCCTTCCAGCTCTTGTTGGGGGTAGGATCCTCCTAGGATCAGGCTGCATGTGATTCTAGCAATCTTAGTCTCCTTCTTGGATTTTTGTCTGTACACATAGATGCAGAAGGACCACCTTCTCAACATGCTACTAAAGGACTTCAGGGATGTCCATTCCATCAGCAAAACCCATTCTCCTCGATTTGGGTAACTATATTTCTAAGAGTTGCTGAAATACAGTACATATGGTAAATATGGTCACAGGAGCATTAGCAGCCATTGACTCTTTGCCTTTCTTTGGTCTGTTCGTCCAAATGACTTCCATAAATGTGACTCTATTTTGGGTTTGCTCCAGTCTCAGTTTCTTTTGCTGTGGGAGGTATTAGGACAGTGGGGTTGGATGGGAATTGGCAACCATTGATCCGGACAGGGAATATCTGCAATGGTGACTCTCAGAAGCATGTGACTTTAAGAGAACAACCCTGTAATCTTAGAGTAGCTGAAAAGTATGAAGTATTTGTGCGTATACTGGAGGATGGCAAAAAAAGGTATACAACCAGTACTACTGGAGCTTGCTGAAATATTTCCAATCTTTGGTCCTGTGAGTCATCCCTCAGCAATGTTAGAGTTTAGACCATGTAGTAGACTTTTGGAGCCTGCATAGCCATGGTGCCTTCTAAGTGAAATGCCAGCACCCACTCAAAGGTCAGGCTTAGGCAGCCATATTCTGTGGCACATGTCCCTTTTCCTTAACCCAGCTGACAGTACCAGAGTGAGCACCTAACCAGGGTGGTCCTTCCATAGACGTGTCATGAAAAGATAACATGAGACTATTATTAGGTGAATGCAAAACTAATTACGGTTTTTACATTGTTGGACTTTGCCATTTGATATTGGATACACCATATTAATGGGCATTTCTTGCTTTATGGTTTTTTGCTGACTTACTACCTACCATTTATTTTATGTATATTTTAGACTATGGAAATGATGTTAGACAAAAAGCAAATTCAAGCGATTTTCTTATTAGAGTTCAAAATGGGTCGTTCAAAATCAAAGCAGCTGAGACAACTCACAACATCAGCAACGCATTTGGCTCAGGTACTGCTAACAAATGTACAGTGCAATAGTGGTTCAAGAAGTTTTGCAAAGGAGATGAGAGCCTTGAAGATGAGGAGCTAGTGGCCAGCCATCAGAAATTGACAATGACCAATGGAGAGCAATCATCAAAGATGATGCTCTTACAACTACACAAGAAGTTTCCGAAGAACTCAAGTCAACCATTCTACAATTGTTCCACATTTGAAGCAAATTGGACAAGTAAAAAGCTCAATAAGTGGATACCTCATGAGCTGAGTGAAAATTAAAAAAAAATTGTCATTTTGAAGTGTCATCTTCTCTTATTCTACACAACAATCAACCATTTCTTGATCAGATTGTGATGTGTGACAAAAAGCAGATTTTATAGATAACCAATGATGACCAGCTCAGTGGTTGGACTGAGAAGATGCTCCAAAGCACTTCCCAAAGCCAAACTTGCATCAAAAAAAGGTCATGCTCCCTGTTTGGTGGCCCTGCTGCCTGTCTCATCCACCACAGCTTTTTGAATCCCAAAGAAACCATTACATCTGAGAAGTATGCTCAGCAAATTGACGAGATGCACCAAAAACTGCAATGCCTGCAGCTGGCATTGGACAACAGACAGGGCCCAATTCTTCTCCCTGACAACGCCCAACCACAGGTTATTCAACCAATGCTTCAAAAGTTGAACGAATTGGACTACGACGTTTTGCCTCCTCTATCATATTCACCTGACCTCTCGCCAACCTAGTACCACTTCTTCAAGCATCTCGACAACTTTTTGCAGGGGAAATGCTTCCACAACCAGCAGGATGCAGAAAATGCTTTCCAACAGTTTTTCAAATCCCAAAGCACGAATTTTTACGCTACAGAAATAAACAAACTTATTTCTCATTGGCAAAAATGTGTTGATTGTAGTGGTTTCTATTTTGGTTAATAAAGATGTGTTTGAGCCTAGTTATAATGATTTAAAAATCATGATCCAAAACCGCAATTACTTTTGCACCAATCATTTTCTTTGTCCAATTGAGACACACAGAAACATGGAGTGAACAGTGGCAAAAAGTATGAGTAAGTAAGCCATGGAAATACAGCTGGATACAGACAAGCTGTGTATAAGCCAAATTTATGAGCAACTGGAATGATGAGTACACAGGGGAGGTTGTGCAGAGAATGAAGCAGATGCCCAGAGAGGAGGAGAGGTACTATGAGAAGAGGAGAAGCGAGAAGGAGAGAAAGAAGGCAATGAGGGAAGGGACACCATGCAACAATCTTATGGGAGAGAAAGATGAAAGAAAAGAGCAAGAGTGAGACTGAAAGACAGAGAGAGAGAGAGAGAGAGAGAGAGAGAGAGAATGTAAAGCTGCTCCCAACAATGGCAACTCCTTAACTCCTTTAGTTCTCACTAATATGAGAAGTTTGACAGCAAGAGGGGCTTTGACAGCAAAGTCCCTTTTCCGAAGTTACCTGAACATCTTCTGTCCTTGCCACCAGAAGACATCAGCTAAAGCAGACTGCTAGAAGATGAACATGCCACTCCTCAATACAGATGTATAAATGGAAAATTACGGGAAGTATTCAGTCCTGTCACACAGCCCCTCCTTTGACACCCTAGGGGCCAGCGATGTTTGAGGATGCAGACCTTTCCAGGCTTTAGGAAGGGCAAGCATCCTTATATATATTGCACATTCCACAGCACCCCCGTAGGGTCTAGGGCAGCACCCGTAATCAAACACATAAATATTCCTACAGTGCAATGTGTGAATATTCACACTAAACAGATAACCTCACATCAGATAAGGTCAAGTTTTGCAGCCAAATGCATTCAGCTCAGGTCAGGTTTTTCTGCCAATTAAGTTATAAGAAAAGTTTCCATTTTCTGAGCTCTTTGGATTTCAGAATTGTAGATAAGGTATTCTGGGCCTGTTCTGTCTGCCAGGAAAGTATCAAACTCACTGTCTGTGGCCTTCTTTCAAACAAAAACAAGGAAGCTCTGTTGATGCCTTCTTGGGCAGTTGAAATGATGTCCACACAGGAAGCAGCCAGAGGGCCTTGGGGTGTGGCCAACACCCCTGCTGGCAGCACAGTTCCTGCTTGGAGAGCTCTGGGTTCTGACAACTGGCTGCCTATCCATGTGTACTCATTCACCTTGACCTTCCTGCAGAAAATTGATTCCTTTCACAAGACTCAAAAAATCTGCTCCTGATCCCCAAGAGGGAACTGGCCAGAGTTGTAGGTCCTGTGCCAAAGGACCTCATTAGCCCGGCCCACTGTGGGAACTTAAGCTCTCCTGGGGCTGCCTCAGCCTCCGTGGCCCCCACTGCAATTGCTTTATTAGGTGTACTCACCTGCATGCATTTGCTAAGAGTGAAGGGCCTCATGGGGTAAAGAGCCCTTCCCCAGGGGCTCTGTCTTTCTGAACCTCTTTAGGGGAGAAGACTGACATCCACTTGGTTTGTTCTGATGGGGGAGGGGTGCTTCAGCCAGTGGGGTCTGTGGATTCACCTTAATTCACCACACCTTTAGTGAGCACTTCTATGTGCTCACTAAAGAGAGACCCTGGTCTAGACACTTTAGGGAGCCCACAGACAAATAAGAAATAAGACACAGCCACTGTCCCGAAGGGAGGGGAAGGGAAGTAATACAACTCCTTGTGGCATGCTGTTTGCATACATTCACACACATGGCACTCTTGGAGCTCTGGAGAGCTTGGTGGGTGAATCTGACATCATAGGGGCTACTTGGGCAATGGAAGATCTCCCTTCCTTGAGACCAGATCTGTGGAGCTAGAAGCACAACCTCAAAACCAAGAGCCCCACCATGCACAGGTAGAATTCTCCTATGGTTTTCTCTTTTTTAAAATGTCCCCATACCTCAGACCTGAAACCATGAAACTCTTAGAAGAAAACATACAGAAAATCTCCTTCACACGGACCTTGGCAATGATTTGTTTTTTGGATGAGACAACCAAAAGCACAGGTAACAAAGCAAAACTAAACAAGTGGGACCACATCAAACTAAAATGCTTCTATACAGCAAAGGAAACAATCAACAGAGTGAAAAGGCAGCCAAAGAATGGGAGGGTATATTTGTGGGCCATGTATCTGATAAGAGGTTAATATCCAAAATATATAAGGAACTCACAGAACTCAATAGTAAACACACGGGGGAGAAGACAAGATGGCCGAATAGGAACAGCTCCAGTCTACAGCTCCCAGCGTGAGCAACGCAGAAGACGGGTGATTTCTGCATTTCCATCTAGGTACTGGGTTTATCTCACTAGGGAGTGCCAGACAGTGGGCGCTGTCAGGCCTCTGAGCCCAAGCCAAGCCATCGCATCCCCTGTGACTTGCACGTATACGCCCAGATGGCCTGAAGTAACTGAAGAATCACAAAGGAAGTGAATATGCCCTGCCCTACCTTAACTGATGACGTTCCACCACAAAAGAAGTGTAAATGGCCAGTCCTTGCCTTAAGTGATGACATTACCTTGTGAAAGTCCTTTTCCTGGCTCATCCTGGCTCAAAAAGCACTCCCACTGAGCACCTTGCGACCCCCACTCCTGCCAGCCAGAGAACAAACCCCCTTTGACTGTAATTTTCCTTTACCTACCCAAATCCTATAAAACGGCCCCACCCTTATCTCCCTTCGCTGACTCTTTTCGGACTCAGCCCGCCTGCACCCATGTGAAATAAACAGCCATGTTGCTCACACAAAGCCTGTTTGGTGGTCTCTTCACACAGACGCGCATGAAATTTGGTGCTGTGACTCGGATCGGGGGACCTCCCTTGGGAGATCAATCCCCTGTCCTCCTGTTCTTTGCTCCATGAGAAAGATCCACCTATGACCTCAGGTCCTCAGACCGACCAGCCCCAGGAACATCTCACCAATTTTAAATCAGGTAAGCGGCCTCTTCTTACTCTCTTCTCCAACCTCTCTCACTGTCCCTCAACCACTTTCTCCTTTCCACTCTTCAATCTCTCCCTTCTCTTAATTTCAATTCCTTTCATTTTCTGGGAGAGACAAAGGAGACACGTTTTATCCGTGGACCCAAAACTTCAGCACCGGTCAAGGACTGGGAAGGCAGACTTCTCTTGGTGTTTAATCATTGCAGGGACGCCTCTCTGATTATACACCCATGTTTCAAGGGTGTCAGACCACACAGGGATGCCTGCCTTGGTCCTTCACCCTTAGTGGCAAGTCCCACTTTTCTGGGGAAGGGGCAAGTACCTCAACCCCTTCTCTCCTTGTCTCTACCCCTTCTCTGCTTTTCCGGCAACAGGGCAAGTACCTCAACCCCTTCTCTCCTTGCCTCTACCCCTTCTCTGCTTTTCTGGGAGAGGGACAAGTACCCCTCAACCCCTTCTCCCTCACTCTTAGCGGCAAGTCCTGCTTTTCTAGAGGAGGGGCAAGTACCCCAACCTCATATCTCTGCACCCCAATCCCTTATTTCCACACCCTGACCTCTTATCTCTGTGCCCCAATCCCTTATTTCCATGCCCCGACCCCTTATTTCCGTGCCCTGACCCCTTATTTCCATGCCCCGACCCCTTATTTCCATTCCCTGACCCCTTATTTCTGTGCCCCATCCCTTATTTCCATGCCCCGACCTCTTATCTCTGTGCCCCAACCCCTTTTCCCACTTTTCTGGAAGGTAAGAACCCCCAAACCCCTTCCCTCCATTTCTCTACTCTCTCTTTTCCCTAGGCTTGCTTCCTTCACTATGGGCAACCTTCCACCCTCCATTCCTCCTTCTACTCCCTTGGCCTATGTTCTCAAAAACTTAAAACCTCTTCAACTCACACCTGACCTAAAACCTAAATGCCTTATTTTCTTCTGCAATGCCGCTTGACCCCAATACAAACTCAACAGTACTTCCAAATAGCCAGAAAATGGCACTTTGAATTTTTCCATCCTGCAAGATCTAAATAATTCTTGTTGTAAAATAGGCAAACGGTCTGAGGTGCCTGATGTCCAGGCATTCTTTTACACATCATTCCCTTCCTAGTCTCTGTGCCCAGTGCAACTCGTCCCAAATCTTCCTTCTTTCCCTCCCACCTGTCCCCTCAGTACCAAGCCCAAGCATCGCTGAGTCTTTCTAATCTTCCTTTTCTACAGACCCATCTGACCTCTCCCTTCCTTCCCAGGCTGCTCCTCGCCAGGCTGAGCTAGGTCCCAATTCTTCCTCAGCCTCTGCTCCTCCAACCTATAATCTTTTTATCACCTCCCCTCCTCACACCTGGTCCGGCTTAAGGTTTCCTTCCGTGACTAGCCCTCCCCGTCCTGCCCTGCAATTTACTCTTAAAAAGGTGGCTGGAGCTAAAGGCATAGTCAAGGTTAATGCTCCTTTTTATCCCAAATCAGATAGTGTTTAGGCTCTTTTTCATCAAATATAAAAATCCTGCCCAGTTCATGGCTTTTTGGCAGCAACCCTGAGACACTTTACAGCCCTAGACCCTAAAAGGTCAAAAGGCCGCCTTATTCTCAATATACATTTTATTATCCAATCTGCTCCTGACATTAAATAAAACTCCAAAAATTAAATTCCAGCCCTCAAACCCCACAACAGGATTTAATTAAACTTGCCTTCAAGGTGTACAATAATAGAAAAAAGTTGCAATTCCTTCCCTCCACTGTGAGACAAACCCCAGCCACATCTCCAGCACACAAGAACTTCCAAAGCCTGAACCGCAGCGGCCAGGCATTCCTCCAGAACCTCCTCCCACAGGAGCTTGCTACACGTGCAGGAAATCTGGTCACTGGGCCAAAGAATGCCCACAGCCCAGGATTCCTCCTAAGCCGCGTCCCATTTGTGTGGGACCCCACTGAAAATCAGACTGTTCAACTCACCTGGCAGCCACTCCCAGAGCCCTTGGAACTCTGGCCCAAGGCTCTCTGACTGACTCCTTCCCAGATCTTCTTGGCTTAGCGGCTGAAGACTGACACTGCCCGATCGCCTCAGAAGCCCCCTAGACCATCATGGACAGCAAGCTTCGGGTAACTCTCACAGTGGAAGTTAAGCCCGTCCCCTTCTTAATCAATACGGAGGCTACCCACTCCACATTACCTTCTTTTCAAGGGCCTGTTTCCCTGGCCTCTATAACTGTTGTGGGTATTGATGGCCAGGCTTCTAAACCTCTTAAAACTCCAACTCTGGTGCCAACTTAGACAATACTCTTTTAAGCACTCCTTTTTAGTTATCCTCACCTGCCCAGTTCCCTTATTAGGCTGAGATACTTTAACTAAATTATCTGCTTCCCTGACTATTCCTGGCCTACAGCTATATCTCATTGCCTCCCTTCTTCCCAATCCAAAGCCTCCTTTGCGTCCTCCTCTTGTATCCCCCAATGTTAACCCACAAGTATAAGATACCTCTACTCCCTCCTTGGCAACCGATCATGCACCACTTACCATCTCATTAAAACCTAATCACCCTTACCCCACTCAACGCCAATATCCCATCCCGCAGCATGCTTTAAAAAGATTAAAGCCTGTTATCACTCGCCTGCTACAGCATGGCCTTTTAAAGCCTATAAACTCTCCTTACAATTCCCCCATTTTACCTTTCCTAAAACCAGACAAGCCTTACAAGTTAGTTCAGGATCTGCACCTTATCAACCAAATTGTTTTGCCTATCCACCCCATGGTGCCAAACCCATATACTCTCCTATCCTCAATACCTGCCTCTACAACCCATTATTCTGTTCTAGATCTCAAACATGCTTTCTTTACTATCCCTTTGCACCCTTCATCCCAGCCTCTCTTCGCTTTCACTTGGACTGACCCTGACACCCATCAGGCTCAGCAAATTACCTAGGCTGTACTGCCGCAAAACTTCACAGACAGCCCCCATTACTTCAATCAAGCCCAAATTTCTTCCTCATCTGTCACCTATCTCGGCATAATTCTCATAAAAACACACGTGCTCTCCCTGTCAATCATGTCCGACTGATCTCTCAAACCCCAGCATCTTCTACAAAACAACAACTCCTTTCCTTCCTAGGCATGGTTAGCACGGTCAGAATTCTTACACAAGAGCCAGGACCGCACCCTGTAGCCTTTCTGTCCAAAGAACTTGACCTTACTGTTTTAGCCTAGCCCTCATGTCTGCGTGCAGTGGCTGCCACTGCTTTAATACTTTTAGAGGCCCTCAAAATCACAAACTATGCTCAACTCACTCTCTACAGTTCTCATAACTTCCAAAATCTATTTTATTCCTCATACCTGACGCATATACTTTCTGCTCCCCTGCTCCTTCAGCTGTACTCACTCTTTAAGTCCCACAATTACCATTGTTCCTGGCCGGGACTTCAATCTGGCCTCCCACATTATTCCTGATACCACACCTGACCCCCATGACTGTATCTCTCTGATCCACCTGATATTCACCCCATTTCCCCATATTTCCTTCTTTCCTGTTCCTCACCCTGATCACGCTTGATTTATTGATGGCGGTTCCACCAGGCCTAATCGACACACACCAGCAAAGGCAGGTTATGCTATAGTACAAGCCACTAGCCCACCTCTTAGAACCTCTCATTTCCTTTCCATCCTGGAAATCTATCCTCAAGGAAATAACTTCTCAGTGTTCCATCTGCTATTCTACTACTCCTCAGGGATTATTCAGGCCCCCTCCCTTCCCTACACATCAAGCTCGAGGATTTGCCCCACCCAGGACTGGCAAATTAGCTTTACTCAACATGCCCTGAGTCAGATAACTAAAATAACTCTTAGTCTAGGTAAATACTTTCTCTGGATAGGTAGAGGCCTTTCCTACAGGGTCTGAGAAGGCCACTGCAGTCATTTCTTCTGTTCTGTCAGACATAATTCCTCAGTTTAGCCTTCCCACCTCAATACAGTCTGATAACTGATGAGCCTTTATTAGTCAAATCAGCCAAGCAGTTTTTCAGGCTCTTAGTATTCAGTGAAACCTTTATATCCCTTACAGTCCTCCGTCTTCAAGAAAAGTAGAATGGACTAAAGGTCTTTTAAAAACACACCTCACCAAGCTCAGCCACCAAAAAGGACTGGACAATACTTTTACCACTTTCCCTTCTCAGAATTCAGGCCTGTCCTCAGAATGCTACAGGGTACAGCCCATTTAAGCTCCTATATAGACGCTCCTTTTTATTAGGCCCCAGTCTCATTCCAGACAACAGACCAACTTAGACTGTGCCCCCCCCCTCCACAAAAAAAAACTTGTCATCCCTACTATTTTCTGTCTAGTCATACTCCTATTCACTGTTCTCAACTACTCATACATGTCCTGCTCTTGTTTACACTGCCGGTTTACACTGTTTTTCCAAGCCATCACAGCTGATATCTCCTGGTGCTATCCCCAAACTGCCACTCTTAACTCTTGAAGTAAATAAGTAATTTTTGCTGGCAGGACTATGCTGAATCTCCTTAGGCACACTCTAATGAGATATCCTGAGTCGTCCCAATTCTTAGACCTTTTATACCCGTTTTTCTCCTTCTGTTATTCCATTTAGTTTCTCAATTCATCCAAAACCGTATCCAGGCCATCACCAATCATTCTATATGACAAATGTTTCTTCTAACATCCCCACAATATCACCCCTTATCACAAGACCTCCCTTCAGCTTAATCTCTCCCACTCTAGGTTCCCACGCCACCCCTAATCCCGCTTGAAGCAGCCCTGAGAAACATCGCCCATTCTCTCTCCATACCACCCCCCAAAAATTTTCGCCGCCCCAACATTTCAACACTATTTTGTTTTATTTTTCTTATTAATATAAGAAAGCAGGAATGTCAGGCATCTGAGCCCAAGCCAAGCCATCGCATCCCCTGTGACTTGCACGTATATGCCCAGATGGCCTGAAGTAACTGAAGAATCACAAAAGTAGTGAATATGCCCTACCCCACCTTAAATGATGACATTCCACCACAAAAGAAGCGTAAATGGCCGGTCCTTGCCTTAAGTGATGACATTACTTTGTGAAAGTCCTTTTCCTGGCTCATCCTGGCTCAAAAACACCCCCACTGAGCACCTTGCGACCCCCCACACCAGCCTACGAGAGAACAAACCCCCTTTGACTGTAATTTTCCTTTACCTACCCAAATCCTATAAAACGGCCCCACCTTATCTCCCTTCACTGACTCTCTTTTCGGACTCAGCCCACCTGCACCCATGTGAAATAAACAGCCATGTTGCTCACACAAAGCCTGTTTGGTGGTCTCTTCACACGGATGCACATGAAAGGCGCAGGATAGTGGGTACAGGGCACCGTGCACAAGCCAAAGCAGGGCGAGGCATTGCCTCACTTGGGAAGTGCAAGGGGTCAGGGAGTTCCCTTTCCTAGTCAAAAAAAGGGGTGACAGACGGCACCGGAAAATCAAGTCACTCCCACCCGAACACTGCGATTTTCCAACGGGCTTTAAAAACGGCGCGCCAGGAGATTATATCCCGCACATGGCTTGGAGGGTCCTACGTCCACAGAGTCTTGCTGATTGCTAGCACAGCAGTCTGAGATCAAACTGCAAGGCAGCAGCGAGGCTGGGGGAGGGGCGCCCACCTGATGAACATCGATGCAAAAATCCTCAATAAAATACTGGCAAACCGAATCCAGCAGCACATCAAAAAGCTTATCCACCATGATCAAGTGGGCTTCATCCCTGGGATGCAAGGCTGGTTCAACATATGCAAATCAATAAATGTAATCCAGCATATAAACAGAACCAATGACAAAAACCACATGATTATCTCAATAGATGCAGAAAAGGCCTTTGACAAAATTCAACAACCCTTCATGCTAAAAACTCTCAATAAATTAGGTATTGATGGGACGTATCTCAAAATAATAAGAGCTATCTATGACAAACCCACAGCCAATATCATACTGAATGGGCAAAAACTGGGAGCATTCCCTTTGAAAACTGGCACAAGACAGGGATGCCCTCTCTCACCACTCTTATTCAACATAGTGTTGGAAGTTCTGGCCAGGGCAATTAGGCAGGAGAAGGAAATAAAGGGTATTCAATTAGGAAAAGAGGAAGTCAAATTGTCCCTGTTTGCAGATGACATGATTGTATATCTAGAAAACCCCATTGTCTCAGCCCAAAATCTCCTTAAGCTGATAAGCAACTTCAGCAAACTCTCAGTATACAAAATCAACGTACAAAAATCACAAGCATTCCTATACACCAATAACAGACAAACAGAGAGCCAAATCATGAGTGAACTCCCATTCACAATTGCTTCAAAGAGAATAAAATGCCTAGGAATCCAACTTACAAGGGATGTGAAGGACCTCTTCAAGGAGAACTACAAACCACTGCTCAATGAAATAAAAGAGGATACAAAGAAATGGAAGAATATTCCATGCTCATAGGTAGGAAGAATCAATATTATGAAAATGGCTATACTGCCCAAGGTAATTTATAGATTCAATGCCATCCCCATCAAGCTACCAATGACTTTCTTCACAGAATTGGAAAAAACTACTTTAAAGTTCATATGGAACCAAAAAAGAGCCCGCATCGCCAAGTCAATCCTAAGCCAAAAGAACAAAGCTGGAGGCATCACACTACCTAACTTCAAACTATACTACAAGGCTACAGTAACCAAAACAGCATGGTACTGGTACCACAACAGAGATATAGATCAATGGAACAGAACAGAGCCCTCAGAAATAACGCCGCATATCTACAACCATCTGATCTTTGACAAACCTGAGAAAAACAAGCAATAGGGAAAGGATTCCCTATTTAATAAATGGTGCTGGGAAAATTGGCTAGCCATATGCAGAAAGCTGAAACTGGATCCCTTCCTTACACCTTATACAAAAATTAATTCAAGATGGATTAAAGACTTAAACGTTAGACCTAAAACCATAAAAACCCTAGAAGAAAACCTAGGCATTACCATTCAGGACATAGGCATGGGTAAGGACTTCATGTCTAAAACACCAAAAGCAATGGCAACAAAAGCCAAAATTGACAAATGGGATCTAATTAAACTAAAGAGCTTCTGCACAGCAAAAGAAACTACCATCAGAGTGAACAGGCAACCTACAAAATGGGAGAAAATTTTCGCAACCTACTCATCAGACAAAGGGCTAATATCCAGAATCTACAATGAACTCACACAAATTTACAAGAAAAAAACAAACAACCCCATCAAAAAGTAGGTGAAGGACATGAACAGACACTTCTCAAAAGAATACATTTATGCAGCCAAAAAACACATGAAAAAATGCTCATCATCACTAGCCACCAGAGAAATGCAAATCAAAACCACAATGAGATACCATCTCACACCAGTTAAAATGGCAATCATTAAAAAGTCAGGAAACAACAGGTGCTGGAGAGGATGTGGAGAAATAGGAACACTTTTACACTGTTGGTGGGACTGTAAACTAGTTCAACCATTGTGGAAGTCAGTGTGGCGATTCCTCAGGGATCTAGAACTAGAAATACCATTTGACCCAGCCATCCCATTACTGGGTATATACCCAAAGGACTATAAATCATGCTGCTATGAAGACACATGCACTCGTATGTTTATCGCGGCACTATTCACAATAGCAAAGACTTAGAACCAATCCAAATGTCCAACAACGATAGACTGGATTAAGAAAATGTGGCATATATACACCATGGAATACTATGCAGCCATAAAAAATGATGAGATCATGTCCTTTGTAGGGACATGGATGAAATTGGAAATCATCATTCTCAATAAACTATTGCAAGAACAAAAAACCAAACACCGCATGTTCTCACTCATAGGTGGGAACTGAACAATGAGAGCACATGGACACAGGAAGGGGAACATCACACTCTGGGGACTGTTGTGGGGTGGGGGGAGGGGGGAGGGATAGCATTAGGAGATATACCTAATGCTAAATGACGAGTTAATGGGTGCAGCACACCAGCATGGCACATGTATACATATGTAACTAACCTGCACATTGTGCACATGTACCCTAAAACTTAAAGTATAATAATAATAATAATAAAAAGCAAACATACACACAATGCATAACATGATTAAAAATAGGCAAAGAACCTGAATAGACATCTATCCAAAGAAGATACATGAATGGCCAATACATATATGAAAAGGTGCTTAACGTCATTAATCATCAGGGACATGGAAACCACAACTACAATGAGATATGACCTCACACCTGTTAGGATGGCTACTTTCAAAAAGACAAGACATAACAAGCATTGACAAGGGTATAGAGCGAATCCTTGTACACCGTTGGTGGGAATGTAGTTTGGTGCAGCCACTGGGGAAAACCAAACGGAGGTTCCTAAAGAAATTAAAGATAGTACTACCATATGCTCCAGCAATTTCTCCACAGAATAGAAAATTCAAAGGAAATTGAAAATTCAAACACCCAAAGGAAATAAAACCACCACCTCTTAAAGATACCTATACTTCCTTGTCCATTGTAGCATTAGTGACAATAACCAAAATATAGAAACAACTGAAGTGTCAGTTGATGGATAAATGTATGAAGAATTTGCAGTGTGTGTGTGTGTGTGTGTGTGTAAATACACACATGTATATATAATAAAGTATTATTCAGCCTTTAAAAAGAAGTAAACCCTGCTATTTGCAACAACGTGGATGAACCTAGAGGACATTATGCTGAGTGAAATAAGCCAGACACAGAAAGAAAAATAGTGCATTATTTTACTTACATGCAGAATCACAAAAAAAAAAAAAACCCTAATAGAGAAGTGTGGTTACCAGGGGTGGGTGGGGGTTGGTGGATGAAGAAAATTGAAAGATGTAGGTCGAAGGTTACAAAGCTGCAGTTATATAGGACAAGTAGGTTTAGAGATCTAATGTACAGCACAAGGACAATTGTTAATAATATTGTATACTGGAAGTTTGCTATGAGCCTAGATGTTAGGGGAAAGGCAAGGCAAGGCAAGGAAGGAGGGAGGGAGGGAGGGGAGGAAGAAAGGAAGGAGGGAAGGAAGGAAGGAAGGAAAGAAGGAAGGATGGAAGGAAGGAAGGAAAGAAGGAAGGAAGGAAGGGAGGGAGGGAGGAAAAGAGAAATAGAGAAAGTGAGGGAGGAAGGAAGGAAAGAAGGAAGGAAGGAAGGGAGGGGGAGAGGGAGGAGGGAGGAGGAGAGGGAGGGGAGCAGGAAGAAAACTATTTGAGATGATGAACACTTTAGTTTGCTTGACGGTAGTAATCACTTCCCTATGTATATGTTTTAAGGGATCTTTGGGATGTTGCTTTTTCTGGTTGGAAACCTCTGTGGCTGAGGGCACCTTTGCCCAAGTTCTTGTCCTGCATCCAGGAAGAATGAGGTATGCAGACAAGTGGAGGGTGAGCAAGACAAAGAGGAGCTTTATTAAGTGTTAGAACAGCTCAGAGGAGACCCACAGTGGGTAGCTCCTCTCTGTAGGCAGGTTGTCCCTTTGAGTGTTACAGCTCTCAGCAGAGAGGCCCTGGATGGGTACCTCCTCTCTGCAGGTGGGTTATCCTGGCAAGTGTTCAGCATTCAGTAGAGAGCTGAATTCAGTAAGGAGAGATTCTCTTTGCAGCTGGTCATCCCATCATCTTCCCAACAGAGAGGATATCTTCTTTCTGCAGCTGGTTGTCCAGTTGACTCTCTGTCCTCTCCATCCTCTGGCTGAGCCCAGGGCTTTTATGGACCTCAGAGGAGAGGAAGTGCATGCCAATTGGTCCATAGGCAGCCATGGATGGGCCCAGAAGAGGCACCACAAGTTCCCACTCCAGTCCACGGGACTGGCAGCCCAGCCCCCAGCCTTCAGGCCCTCCCTGGCCTCAAGATGGGGCCTTACCAGGGACCTGCCCCCTCCACCCAGGAACCTGTCCACCTCCTGTGGCAATCCATGGCACCCAGGCTGCTGGCACCAAAGGGCACCCACAGTCTGGTGCCCAGCTGCCCTCAGCCCTTGCCCTCAGCTTCCCCTCCCATGTTCCTTTTGGAGGTGGCCAAGGTGGCAGGAAGCTGGCATGGTCAGCACTGCCCTGAGCATGTGCACACCTGATCAGCCTGTGACAGTGCCAAGACCAGAGCAGGTGCCAGGAGCAGAAAGAAGCCAGGCAGCAGGAACAGGCACCAGAATTATTCTAGTGACCCAGTTTTCAGGGTGTGTATTGTATGTGAGTATGTGTTAGATAAGGCTGGGGGACAGGATGGGATAATGCATTAAACCTTGATTGGAAATTAGAATAAGATTGATCAAGGTGGGGCTATGAAGTAAAGGGCTTCAACTAAATAAACTGTTTATATTTTAGTAAACATTCACTAACATTTTTGTGTGCCTGGTTGTCAGAAATATAATTATTATTAAGACCCCAATGATGGCCTCAAGGAGCTTGAAATACAGCAGTTAGGAGGACTCATATCTGAGACCCTGTAGAATAGAATAGTTTGATCCTGTCATACTATAAACCCCTGTGGCTGCATCAAGCCACAAGAAAGGTTAGCACAAACCCAGCACAGAGGAAAGGTGATCGGTAAGTCTTGGGGGAATGAATGAATGAATGAACAGAAGTGTAGCCGGATCCTCTCAGTCCCTGGTCAAGCCCCACAGGATGCCCAGCTTCTGACTTCATGTCTCCTCCAGTTGGTGACACCTGAGCTCTATTAAAAGGCTCAGTGCCATCTGAGCCTTAGTTCCAACTTGACTTCAGATAGGAAGGGTCTAAACATCTCCAAGGAAGCCCATTCTAATAACCTGACCTTTCCTGAAATACCACATTTCTACCTCATCTTTTATAGTTTAGGTATGAACATTTCATTTCTGCCTGGCAGCCTTACCTCCTAGGCCTACACTTACCCTGTTCTTACCAGCTGACCACCAGGACCAGAATTTTGCCATTAACCTCAGTCTGGGTGATGGAGTCAAGCTCCTAGATTTCGGTGTTTCTGAGGTGCTGGCTTCCTGAACAGCTTTGAATTGGTTGGGTCAGGGCCCTTCAGAGAAATAAAACCAATAGGAGATTACATAGGTAGATAGATAGATGATTTGTTGATAGATAGATAGATGATAGATAGATGATTGATGGAGAGATAGATGATAGATAGATAGATAATAGATAGATAGACAGACAGGATCTATTAGGGGAATTGGCTCACATGATTATGAAGGCTGAGAAGTCCAGTGACAGGCTGCTGTCTGCAAGCTTGAGAACAAGGTGAGCCAGGAGTATGCTCAGTGCATGTCCAAAAGCCTCAGAACCATGGAAGCAGACATGTCTAATACTGAAGGCCTGAGGACCTTGGAAGGGAGGTGGGGGCATACATCTCAGTGTCCACAGGCTGGGGAATCTGGGATTCTGATGTCAAAAGGCAGGAGAAGAGGAATATCCCAGTTATGGGAGGGAGTGAATTTGCCTTTCCTTTGCCTTTTTTGTTCTATCAGGACCTTCAGCCAATTGGCTAGTGCCCACCCACATTGGATGTGGGCAGATCTTCCTTGTTTAATCCACCGGTTCAAATGCCAGCCTCTTCTAGAAACATCCCCACAGACATATCCAGAAATCTTGCTTTATCAGCTGTCTGGGCATCCTTTAATCCAGTCAAGTAGACACCTGAAATTAACCATCACGATGAGTTTCCTCACAGTGCATGCTGCCCTTCTTCTGGGCTGCTCTCACCCTCCGCTGGCCAGCCATTTGCCCTGTACCACCTGTTTCCCATCACTGGGCCTTTGAGGGAGCTCTGCTGGTGGGCTGGCCTTCCCCCAGTACCTGCATCTGTGCCTGCCCTGCTTGGTGGCTTGGCCTGCGTTCAGGTCTCAGTCCATCCCAAGGCACCTATCCCATTGCACCTGGCCTGGCCATGCCTGGCCTCCTTACTAGATACAGCAGCCAGCATGGCCCAGGCCTCCAAACTGGGGAGTTACTAAGCACTGAGAAGGCTTTAAGGGAAGCATCACCAGGAAGGGATGGGATTACAGGCGTGAGCCACCGCGCCTGGCCGGTGACAGTCTCTTAACACTGGATTCCTTTTGCGTTTCTTCTAGCAATTCTTTTCCAGTCCATCCATCCATCCATCCATCCATCCATCCATCCATCCACCCATCCATCCATCCATCCATGCATCCAAGACGCTTTTATTAAACAGGTGTTTGCTAACTGCCGGTGACCCCTCCGGGTGAAAAGATACAGCCTCTGCTTGGCAAAGAGAACTACCAGGCAGGATGAGAGGAAGGAGGCGGCAGAACTTCAGGGTCAGAAGATGCAGGAGCTTTTGCAAAGAAGCCCGGGCCACCTTTTGTTAACTGTTTAACAATCCCTTGGTTGCTGGCCGGCTCCCATGCTCTTGCTTGGTCTGTCAAAGCAGCGGTATTGTTCTGAGCTCTTAGGAGCCACTTGGAGAATGTGTCATTTTACTTTCCCTTCCTCCCACCTCTTCTGCCTCTGTTTTGCCTACCATCATTAAATGCTCTGGCTCTTTATCATGGCTTTGAAATCGAGAAGGACACTTTGGAATTCAATTAGCCACATCGTTGCCACAGCAACAAAAATATAAACTTAAATGATTTATACGCACAGACAACACTTCAGAAACGAGTAAATTTAATCCCACAGCTGAAAATGAAATGGATGGGGCAATGAGAAAATTGTATTATTCTCTCCCCAATGAGAAGCCTCCAGGTCTTCTTGTGATGTGGGTGTACATCGAGATGGGAGAAAGTTAGGTGGCCTGAGAGCAGCTCTTGCACACACCAGAGGTCAGGGTTCTTGTTGGGGTTCATGGCTAATACTCAGCCTGCTCTGCAACTGCTGAGGCAATGCAGGCCAACAAAGCCAAATAAAAGGGCGAACATCATTCCATGAACCATAAGCATGTCTGCTCGTAAGGGGTCATGCTCCTCTCTTTGTAATACTATGTATGCATATCCATACCCATAAATCCAGAGAATGTCTTTCCATTAAAGTGAGATCTTTCACAGAGCCACAGAATGGGAGGGGTTGTGCTTAAAAAACAAAAACAAAGCCAAACCTACAAATCAGGTATTTCCCAACAGTTGCTACCTGATTCCTGCACTCTCCGCTTGTAGACTGCTGAATTAATGCAGCCGTCAGTGGTCTTGGACTCAGGATACTTTCTAGGGTGGCTTAATAACTAATCAGATGTGTCAGGAGTTATAGTACTTTATTTCTGCTATAAAATATTGTTGTCTTCATGGGACATAAGTATAAAAATAAATGAAATCAGACATTATTTTGAAATATTTATCTTTTATTCTTCATTTCTTTTCCACATTTTACATATATTGACCTTTTGCAATCACTAAGAATAGGAATTTCTGGTTTTCTTATACTGCACATTCCTATTAGTGTCACAGATATATGTGTAGTACATTACTGCCAATCCATATATATTCAAAACCAATAAAGTATAATTTTTTAATTTTTGAAAGAAATATATTGAAGTTTTAATTTTTTCTGTCATACCCAAATGAATCATCTTGCGTCCCACTTTGGAAACCACTGTGAGTTGGAGGTACCCTCACTGTTTCAAGAAGAATTGGGGTGGTTAAAACGGGAGTTATAGAGAAAAATCACTTCACTTAAATTTCTAATACAAGATCTGGAGGATCAAAATGGAAGGTCATGAGAGGACTGGGCACAGTGTGTTTAATAACAATAGGCTGGAAAAGGACAGAATGAGGGTAGAGAAGATACTAATCCTGATGTCCTCCTGGAGGACTTCAGAAGGGGTGGGGAGAGGAGAGACGTGGAAAAGAGCCCTGTGGGTGGCTGGGTCTAGGGAGTGAGTTGGACACAAAGGCAATGTCCCATCCACTCTCCATTAATTGGGTGCTCACTGTGACACAGAGACTGAGAAGCTGCTCTTCAGTGGGTCCAGTGAAGGCTGTCCATTGACAGTGACTGCAGGTGGCCACTGAGTCCTCCAACTGATGGACACTACCCAATGCTTCTCTCAATATATCCAAATTGCTGAGCCCATCAATCACCTATGCCATGTAAAGTTACCCCTCTTCACACATGTGAAAAACAGCACAGGGGCTTCCTGGCACTCATGGGATGAGATTAGCTGCATGTAAGGATAAGATGAGCACCACTCCTTGATGGGACTGCTCAGTGATGAAACCTTCCCACGGTTTCATGGGAAACCACTCACATCACTCAAACCTCACCAAATGACCTCCACTAATTTTGCATTGTTGACTTTCCATACAGTGGTGAATCCTGAAGTCATTTTTTCCTATGAAAATGATTTTTCTTTTTCAGCAGTGAACATTTATACCACAAATCAGCACATAGGAGCTCAAATTCCAAATAAAATCTTATCAATTTATATGTAATGTTTCATATTTAGGAGCTCCTATTAAGAAATAGCCTGCTCACCAGGTTTAGTTAATGTATCAGGGAAAAAGAATAAAACTGCAATAATTTATTTATATTCTGCAAGCTAGGATTTTCTTTATTTCAGACACTTCTTGTCTGGATATGCATGAACTTGGAAGTTGGAAATGGTTTGGATTCCTGCTCTACTACATGTCATCTCTGTAGTTTCAGGCAAATCACAACTTCTGAAGGTCTCCATTTCCTAATCAGGGCATGATAATATCACCCCTGCTGAAATGTCATTAGATATTTATCATCAGATCACCTTGCATCATGCCCAGCACACAGTGACCACTCAAATTGTATTTGCTCTTATTATGGTAATTAGTGTGAATGAATGAAGTTTCCCTCCACATCACCTATACCTTCATTCATGTTTTCGTGTATTCATATAGGAAACATGGAAACCATACATCTGCATGTGTGTGTGAAGGGTGGTTGGGTTTTAAAAAGACAATTGTCACCACTTTCCATTCATTAGTGTTGGGTTATTCTAGGCCTGAAGGAGAATTTTGAGCAGAGCTAGTGATTGAGGGGTGCAGAGTTGAGGAGGGGCTATGGATGCCCGGAAGTGCTGTCCCCCTGCCCCAGCAAGGCAACAGTGGATTATATTTTTTACCTTTTCACTGTGGTAAAATACACATAACATTTACCATTTTAACCACTTTAAAGTGTACAGTTTGGTGGCATTAAGTACATTCACAATGTTGTGCAAACATCACCACTGTCTAGTTCCAGAACTCTTTGAATCACCCCAAACAGAAACCGCATGCCCATTAGCAGTCATTCCTCACTTCTCCCTCCTCCAGGCCCTGGCTGCGACTACTCTTTCTGTCTCTGTGGATTTGCCTATTCTGGACACTTCATATAAATGGAATCGTGCAATATGTAGTCTTTTGTGTTTGGCTTCCTTCACTTAGCATAATGTTTCCAAGGTTTAATCATTTTGTAGCATGTGCCAGTTCTTCCATTTTTTTATGTCTAATACTATTCCACTGTATGGATATACTACATTTTCTTTATACTGTATTTGGTTTTTAATCCCATCATCACAGGTAGGAATGATGACACAGTGAAGAGGACGCTGAGTTAGGCAGGCCTCAGTTCAGCAAAAAGGTGTCAGGCACTCACCACTTTTGAGACATTATACAAGTGTCTTAACTTCTTTGGGCTGTGGCTGTTTCATGTGTGAAATAAAGGTAATAGTTATTGTTAAATGACTATTATCATTAATGTCAATTAAATGAGATGCACAGAATATAAACATACCTGGCACACGAAAGATGATTTAATCCATTTTTGTTTTTCTTTAAATTCCTTAACTTCATAAATATTATTGATAAAACAACTGTCACGGAAACCAAGTGCACCTAGGGTCAGGTGGGATGGACCCTTGCTCAGCACTGGCTCTGCACCTCACACCAGCTGCTGGGGCGGAACTGGGCCCCTTGCCCAGCCCCTGAAAGCTGCCCCTGTCTCCATCAGTCTAACAGGCTATGCTTGTTTTTGTTCTGCATGCTGCTTCTGGAAGCTCTCACCAAGCGGAAATACCTGGGACCAGCACTTTGGGTGGATCACGAGGTCAGGAGATCGAGACCATCCTGGCTAACACGGTGAAATCTTGTCTCTACTAAAAAATTCAAAAAAATTAGCCGGCTGTGGTGGCGGGCACCTGTAGTCCCAGCTACTCGGAGGCTGAGGCAGGAGAATGGCGTGAACCCAGGAGGTGGAGCTTGCAGTGAGCCGAGATCTTGCCACTGCACTCCAGCCTGGGTGACAGAGCGAGACTCCGTCTCAAAAAAAAAAAACAAAAAAAACTCTGACCAATGCTAGGCACGGTGTTGGACATGACATCACAAACTCAAAGCAACCCTGCTAAGTAGGTGTGGTTATTCCCTTGTTACAGATAAGGAAACTTTAGACTTAGATTTTGGGACCTTGTCTAATGAACCTCTAGTCAAGTGTCAGATGCAAGGTGCATCCAGATCTGTAAAACTCCAAAGGCCACACACATTTTATGTTTCAGTTGCATCTCTCTATGTCTCCAAATCAGAGACATAAAAAGTATTGCACAATAATGCCTAAAAGTTAATACATTGTTGATATAAAAGATTATGTAAAACATGAAAATGTCAGAGTCAGTTTTATATGTCTCCTGTGTCTTTTTAAAATTTATTAAATTTTAATTGCCAAATAATAATTACGTACATTTATAGGGTTTATTGTGATATTTTGCCATATGTATACATTGTGGGATGATTACATCAAGCTAATTAACATATTCATCACCTCAAATGCTTATTTTTTGTAATGAAAACATTTAAACCCTTTTTTAGCAATTTTGAAATATTTAACACAGTATTATTAACTAGGGTCACCTTGCTGTGCAATAGATCTTGAAAACTTATTCCTTTGTCTAAATGGAACTCTGTGCCCTTTGGTCAACTTCTCTCCATTGCCCACCCCATCCCCTACCTCAGCTTCTGGTCACCGTCATTCTACTCTCTACTCCTACGAGTCTGACATTTTTAGATTTCAAATATAAGTGAGATCATGGGATATCTCTCTTTCTGTGCCTAGCTTAGGCACAGAAATAAACCAATAGGTTTATTTTTTAAATGCTCAACATCACTAATTATCGGGGAAAGCAAATTGAAATCACAATGAGACATCATCTCACACCTGTGAAAATGGCTATTATCACAGAGGCAACAGAAAATAAGCATTGGTGAGGATGTGGAGGAAGTGGAATCCTTCTACACTATTGGTGGGAAGGTAAATTAGTGCAGACATTGTAGAGAAAGTATGCAGTCCCTCAAAAGGCAAATATAATTATCATATGATCCAGCAAATCCATTTCTGGATATATCTACAAATGAATTGAAATCAGCATGTGGAAAAGATATCTGCACTATAATTACAACACTTTTCACATTAGCCAAGACATCAATGGATGAATAGATAAAGAAAATATGGAGTCACTTTCAAATTACTTGTTTCGCCTTAGATACTATTAACTAACACCCTGCTAGGAGAAATGAAGAAATGTTTATGTTGTCTCTTACCGATTTTTGTTAATTACAGTATAATTTTATATTGTCAATTTTCATATTCTTTTGATTTTAAACCATTATTTCTAAAATAATCTAAATAACCATGACTTGGATTGTATTCAATATTTAAAAGTATTTATGACTAATCCCCACATGTTCTCCTATCTTGGAGCTGTTTTCATGGTTTTGGTGGGGGCAGTGGGAAGAGGCGGAGAGAGAAGGGGTCACACAGTGACCCTGTCTGTCCTTTAACTTTGTATCCAATTTGCCTGGACTTATAAAATTCTCAAGGCATGCATTTTTTGTTTGTTTGCTTGTAAATCCAGTAGCAATTGTTTAACAGTCTTCTAACACAGGGGTTTAAGTGGCAAGTCCTTTTTTTTTTTTTTTTTTAGATGGAGTTTCACTCTTTTTGCCCATGCTAGAGTGCAATGGCCTGCTCACTGCAACCTCCACCTCCTGGGCTCAAGTGATTCTCCTGCCTCAGCCTCCTGAGAAGCTGGGATTGGGTCATCATGCCCTGCTAATTTTTATACTTTTAGTAGAGACAGGGTTTTGCCATGTTGGCCGAGCTAGTCTCAAACTCCTGACCTCGGGCGATCCACCCTCCTCAACCTCCCAAAGTGCTGGGATTACAGGTATGAGCCACCACGGCCAGCCTCGCATGTCCATTTTTAATGATAGTTATAGGTTTAACTTTGGGATTAACAGATCTCATTTCAAAGAGTTTCTAAGTAGAGTCTATTAGGCAACTTGATGGTGACATGAATTTGAATTTCAGCAAAGCTGCTTATGATATCCTTGTGGCATATTTTCTTTCCCATTGATCACTGTAGACAGTCTCATTGTCCCTATCCATTGATTTTGCTGTGAAAAAATACAAAACCAGACTAATTTTTACCCTGGGAGGGAGACCGGCTGCCTCAAATTCTTTCTTTATTATACACAATTTAATAACTTAGGCAGAAAATGTCTTTGTGTTCCTCTGGAATACACTTTAATCTTTGCATATGTAAATTCAGTTCTTCTGAAATTTGAGGATAATTTTCTTCTATTGCATTTTCAAATACTACCTCCATTCCATTTGTTGGATTATCTTCTTAAAGGACATCAATTAACCTGGGTTGAATTACCTGTGGCACCTATATCCATTCTCCTATCTGTAGCTGATTTAAACTCCTTTTCTTTGTGTGCATGGTAAGCTCTTCAAGCTCCTTCTCTGAGTCAGTAATTTCATTTTTGACCATGTCTCTTATTTTTTTTGCTGTTTTTTATTTATTTGTTAGTCAGGAAAGGATACTGTCATTGGTCTTTAATTTGCTTTCTTAATTTCTTGTGATTTTTTTCTTTCTCAGTCGGCTGGTTATAACCTGATTATAAAGCTCATTTTATTAAATTTCTATCGTTATTTTGTTCTATACCTTCAAGGACTCAGGAGGATTTCCTTCTTGTTTTCTATTCCAGATTCTGTTCTGTAAATATGTTTTGAATGCTCTATTCCTTCCTTCCACCCAACTATCTATTTATCCATCATTTCTCCATTTCTCTTTATTGTATAATCTATATTATATATAACAAAATTATATATAATATGATATATATATTCATTATTACATTTCTTTTACTAGCTCTTTCTTAACATGAGCAATTGGATCCATATTTTCTATTTATCCTGATCCATAGTGGGTGAATTCTCTTTGACATTCTTCCCACCTTAACTGAAACATTTATGTCTCAGCAGAAGTTTGAGGGTTGAGTATTGTGTGCTATCAGTTTTTCTGTGGTCTGAGAAAATCTGGGAAGGAAAGAGGGACAGCCCAGTGGGGGCCGGAATTCTGGAGGACTTGGCTTGATGCAAATGTCCTTTGACGGACTGTTTGGCTGATATCCCAGCCATGAACTGGATATGCTAGAGGTGTGCTTGGATCTGTCCCCAGACAGATTGGAGCCATGAGACCGAGGGGAGCTCTAACCAACATTGCTGCCTTTGATGAGAGCCTCACAAAGTCAGCAGGGCCCTCTGCACTAGAGGATTTGCCCACAGCTTTCCTGAGCTCCCTCAAGCCACTTCTCTGCGAATCTCAGCATTTTTTTTCCAATTGACATTCTTTCTCCAGCATTACTTCTAAGGGCTGAGGGGAGGGACAGAGACCATAGCAACTCCGCCAGAATTTATAGTTTTATAACCACCACTCTGAGAGTTTATAACATAAAGTTATACCCCAGCCCTTACTTTTTTCCTGCTAGTAAGTTGTTTTCAGATTCTTTCTCTTTTTAGAGGGAGATTCCTTACCTGTGCTTAATCGCACTATTTTTGTGCATAAATTCTGTCTTAGTTTATGACTCCTTTAAGCAGCATAATGACCTTGGATTAGAAAGTCTGTAGACCTGGGCATGAAACCCAACTCCATCTCTTAACAGCAGTGGTTCTCAACTCAACTGGGGCCAATTTTGACAATGTCCAGTGACATTTTAATCATCATGACTGGCAGGTGCTACTGACATCTAGGGGGTACAGGCCAGGGATGCTGTGCCATTTTACAATGGCACAGTCTGGTGCCAAACCACGTACTCACAGGACAGCTTCCCAGAACAAAGAATTATCTTATGCTAAGTGTCAATAATGCCAAGATTGAGAGACTCCACCTTAGTAGCTGAGTAGATTTGGGCAATTCTTTTAATCTCCTTAAGCTTTAGTGACTTTGTCTTTAAAATGAGCATAATAATGTCTGTCTTAGTCAATAGACGGTAGAGTTTTAATGTTAATATAGTCATAATAACATAATGATAATACTTCTATTATTATCCCTGGAACTATTATTAGTAGTAAAATGGTAATTTTTTGAACCGCTGTGTGAATGCAAGCAATTTCCTCATCTATTCTAACCTCAAATTATTGCAAAGTTAAATTTATTTGGGGGGCAACCTTGTCTTTCACTGACTCTTACTGTTTCATCTGTTTTCGTTTGTTTGTTGTTGACATTGCCCTGTTCACCTTTTTTTTTAAACGAATCCTTGACACTTCCTGGGAAAAGCAGCATCCTGTCATTTTTTTTAATTGCAAGTATGTATTTTGCTTGCCTTCTTTTATGCCTCATATTAACATGTCCTCCAAACACAGTGCCAAGATAAAAGTGTGAGAGAAGGCCAACTTCCACCTCCAGGGCCAGAGAATTTGATGTGGGCATTGGATTAGAGCATCCCCTGGTAATGAGTATGCCCTTCATGGTGTGAAATGAAAGGCTTTGCTATTTTGTCTTGTTTTATTGGTAAAGAGTGGCCATAGTTCAAATACACCCAATGTGGGTTGTCTGCTGTCCATTCGTCCATTCAGGTTAGTAGTACAGAATATCATCTTGCTATGCTCTTATCTTAAGATCAGTAAAGTGAATGGTGTAAGACATTTGCCAAGGGATAGGAATAAGATGGAAATCATACTTTCCAGACTCTTTATCCTTGCTCTCAAGGTCTCAGGGCATAATGACCATGACTCCAGGCTTGGGGAAAAGTTTCTGTTTCTGGCCTATAAAGACACCACACGGGAGGGGAATGGTGGCCCTGGCCTTGGAGTCTCTTGCTTTGCAAGTTCATCTAACTAACCCTGACCCGACTGCCCTGAGAAGTCTTCGGAGAAACTATAATGTGTATATGAACATGTGTCGTTGTATATGTATCTGTAAGTCCTTGTGAGTTTACAAAAGCAGCAGAACATTGTCAAAATAGCATGGGCTTCGGAGTCAGATGAACCTAGGTTCATATTTCACCTCTGCCATTTATGAGCTGGTGTCATTAGACGAGTCAATTAACCTCTTTGAAGTTCAGTTTTCTCAATTGGAAAATGGGATTAATAAAGTCCACCTAAGCAACGAGCAGATGACCCTAAAATGGCAGATGCCACTCTTCAATGTCTCTTTCTATTGCTCAAATATTAACAGCAGGACAAATTTTTACTTTTGTGAAATGTATTCTAGTTTTAAAGCTCAGTGGGCTGCTATTATTCCTGGATCTATTTAGTGGCTGTTAATGACCTTCTCCTTGTGTGACAGTTAGAGACAAATAACCATGACCAGGCTGGGGGAAGCTGGGGAGAGATGGATTGAATTTGATCCATGATTGGAAAAGTGTGGAAGCTGGGATTTTTATTGTTTGATTTAACGAATCTTAATAGGGCTTGGCCTTGGGAGACACAAATCAATAATGTAATCTTAGTGCTCTCATTGGCTCACCAGTTCTGTTTCATTCAGAAAAAGCCTCCCAGAACCCCATCAGGGACACATTTAATTCTCAGTAAAAGGATAGGCCACTCTCAAGAAGATAAAAGAATCATGATGATTATAATATTGATGATGACATGATGATGACGAGGAGGAGGATGAAGACAACTGGTAATGATAATAATGATGGTGATGGTGATGATGATGGCAAATGATTATTACCATTTACTCAGGGACTATCAAGTGCAAGACCCTGCACTAAACACTTAGTGCATGTCTTCACATGACCTGGTACTATAACAACAGGCTGTAGGTATGACAATCTTTTTTATAAATGAGAAAACTGAGACGCACAGAAGCTAACTGACTTGCCCAAGGTCCCCAGTGGATGAGGAGGATGTTGGGATAATGAGAGTTATATTTTTTCCTAGTGGTTTGGGGAATAAGGTGATGCTGTAGAAGTCATCACCTTCTTTAAACACCTTTCCTTTAAACATTCTCACAGGGAATACCAAGTAGAAACAAAATTTGCTTGTGGTCAGAGAGACATAAGGTTAAATTTTGTCCCTGACTCAAACTTGCTTTGTGTCCTTTGGGAAGGAAGTTAATCTTTCTAAGACTTAGGTTCTCCAAACCCCAGTTTTCTCACCTGGCAAAGTAAAGACAAAAATATGTAACTCATGAGGAGTGGTTATGATGAAGGTTTATTGACCTGCCCAACTGGTGCATGGGAGGTGCTTAATGAATGTCATTTTCTTCCTCTAGGACTGATAAGGGGCCAGAGCAGGTAAAGCCAGAGGCTGGGCCATATCAGTCCTGCAGTACTGGACTATAGGAGTTGGTGCAGACAAAGCTGACTCAGAGTGAGACAGAGGGGGGTCTTAACAGTGGTTGATGGCACTGGAAAAAAAAAATCACAAACAATATTATCACCTCATTTCTCTAGAGAAAATGTAAAATTCCTGTGAGCAATATACATCCAGTGTTTTTAAAAATCACCGTTTTTCTCAAAACATTTTATGATCAATCCAATCATTCCTGGATGAAAGGCCCTACATTTATAGGGTGAGAAAAAACACCTTCAGAACTCTCCTGGGGTCTTTTGTCCAACCTTTGACTAAGTGGTCATTTTGCTTCACCTACGGACTAGAACAGAAGTAATAAGGAAAAGGACATGGTAGCCATCATCTATCTAGGCAAAAACTGGTGTGCCATACTCTCCCCTCCAGCCCTCTTCTAAATAGTCACACACCACTTTGACTCTGAGTTGCTCTTTGCCGATTACTTCTGCTGGTTCTGAATCACAAGTTATCCATCATAGGTGACCATCATATCTCTAATATATAGAGGACTGTCTATCAAAAGGCACAAGAGGATTTTTACAACAGTAAAATATCCCTCTCTAGGGGTGACAGGGCCCTAGCCTCACCCTCACAGGCACAACCAAGAGCTCAGAGTCCAGCTCATCCCAAAAAAAAGACTGAGTCCCTGATTAGCATGCCATCACTAAATACTGGAGCAGATGGCGTGAAATTCCAATCAGAAGAATTTATAATGTGAAGTCAGATATTATATAGTGAGAAATAAATAAACAGAAATTGTCAGTCAAACTCGTGGCAGCTGGGGCCAGCATCAGAGGCAGTAAATGAACTAACTCCATAAACCATATTTATGATCGGCCCTATTGAGCATAACTCTGCCAGTGGGGCTTTCTGCTATGTATCAGGACACACTGGCTTGTTGCATCTCACAGAGGTAGAAAATGAGCAGGGCCAGTATGTCTCTGGAGCAGTGACTTAAGGGTGTCAGACCATGATTGAGACATTTCCCTGCTCTCTAAGTCAATGTGTGCATACGGCTTGGGAGAAGAGTCTGGCTTCCCACCTAGCATGAAATTCAGCAGAAGGCAAAGACTCCTACTGAACTCTGATTAGGTGTTATCTCAAAACCCTAGCACTTGCTATGCATAGCCCAAGGTCACAGTGGGTGAGAACTTGGCTCTGTTCTGGGAGAAGCCCAGGGGATTCTCTTTACCCAACACTCTTCCCTTAGCCAACATCCAAGTCATGGACAGAAATACTGCCCCTCCATTTGATCTTATACTCTTGCTCTTAGCACCCTACTCCTTCTTCTGTTCACTGTGGGATTCCCAGTACGAGGCAGGGAAGATGGTGTGGAGACAGGGGATCTTAAATGCTTTTACATCTTCAGGCTTCAGCACATTGTGCCACATCTACCTTAAAAGCACTCCTAAACTGATTGATTACACAAATGAATTAATGGATAAATGAGTGAATGAATAAGTAGATAAATGAATAATTATCCCAAAAAAGATATGTCTTCCAAACTGCATCTCTGCTCTGTTTTCCTCAGCCTAAAACCCTCCACTGTTGTTTTAGACAGGAGCTTCTATCCATGTAAGAGAGCTATAGAGTGGTAATTAAGACCATGTGTACTAAACCCAATTGCAGGGTTTAAGCCCTGGCTCTGCCTCAAGAAACTGGGTGGCCTTGGGCAAATTATATAAACCTCTAAGGCATGATTAGCACATTTATACAACAGTAATATTGTTAGTACCTGACCCCATTAAGAGTATTAACTCATGTTGAGCCCTTAGCAGAGAGCTTGGCAAATAGTGATGTTTGATTTGAATATGGATGCTCGTGATCATGTTCTGCACCTTCTTCCTTCCACTGCCTCTTTCCATTATATCTTAGCATTTGTCAGCTAAGACTGCTTGAGCTTGAGTGACAAGAGGGGTGGTGAATGTTCTCAAGATTCTGATGAGGAAAGGACTGTGACTAGGACATTCATAAAGATCGCCTTATTTAATTCAAAGCAGGGCTTTCTCCTGAGCCTTGAGTATCTGGCAATGATGTGTAGTTAGAAGACGGCCTTATCCAGCAAACTCTCTCAGACTATACCATCCAGCTTCCCTTAGTAAGACTGAGACTCCTGTAGAATTTTTAAAGAAGCTGCCTCTTGATATTTAACTGTTTTAAAGTCATTCCCTGGCTCTTGAAGCTAATCAGCAAGTGGCAAGCAGGGCAGTAATTAGATCCTCTGCTGAGCCCTGCATCGGAGATTTGAACAATTCAGAACATGGGGGAAAAGAGAGGTTAAAATAGAACATCTCCCTAGTTAATAGCTAAGTAATTTTGAGCATCCCAATAGGAGCAAAGAATAGGTCATGGCCCAGCACAAGAAGCCCACCATGCCTTGAAATACTAAGGAAATGTGTCCTGAGAAGATTAAGCAAGGCAGTATTTTTGGGAGCTCACTCCTATATCTATCTAAAGTCCATAACAAGATTTACCACAGACAGGAAGATAGCTTGAGGCCAGGAGTTTGAGGCCAACCTGGGTAACATAGTGAGACTTCATCTCTACAAAAAGTACAAATAAAATGAAATAAAACAAAAATTAGCCCAGGTGTGATGACATGCACCTGTGATACTAGCTGCTCAGGAGGCTGAAGCAGGCAGGAGGATCACTTGAGCCCAGGAGTTGGAGGCTGCAGTGAACTATCACTGTGCCACTGCACTCCAGCCTGGGCAATACAGTGGAGACCCTGTTTCTTAAAAAGTAAATTTTAGGCCAGGCGTGGTGGCTCATGCCTGTAATCCCAGCACTTTGGGAGGCTGAGGTGGGTGGATCACGAGGTCAGGAGATCGAGACCATCCTGTGAATGGTGAAACCCCGTCTCTACTAAAAACACAAAAAATTAGCCGGGCATGGTGGCGAGTACCTGTAGTCCCAGCTACTCCGGAGGCTGAGGCGGGAGAATGGCATGAAACCGGGAGATGGAGCTTGCAGTGAGCCGAGATCGCACCACCGCACTCCAGCCTGGGTGACAGAGTGAGATTCTGTCTCAAAAAAAAAAAAAAAAAAAGTAAATTTTAATTTAACTTAATTACTTATTTTTTTTTTAAAGAGCGACCCCTACCTTGGACATCAACTTTCAGATTAATTTCCACCTCTGCCCTGTGTCAAATGAGCACCTTCTTGGCATTTCTGCTCTCAGTGTCATTATGAACAGCCTCCAGGTTCACTCTCAGCAATGGCTAGTTGCTATTTCTAAAGTATCTTCCTTAAACCCCAGCTTTTTTGTGTCACCACTGAGATGCTGATATTTTAGGACCAAGTGATCTTTATAAGACTATTTTACCAGCCATGCCCTCCAGCACTGGAAGATGCCTTTATTTGGGAGATTCTCCCAGTTCTTATGCACCTGAGAACCCTGGCCACAGGCAGGTAGTTGAATGAGATTATCAATCAAGGACCTTCCAGACCTAGGAGGCCATAATTTATTCCAGTCCTTGGATTGTCATCTCAAATTAAATGTCAAATCATGAGTCACAAGGGCATGAGGACAGTCTAAAGTGAAGCTGCACACCTCCACAGCCTCCTTGGCCTTTGTGTGGCATTGGAAGGACTTCCTGAAGAAAGATGGGTTTGAGGCTATGTAGGATGGAACCAGAAGTCTCTCACAGTGCTTTGGTCTCAAGCCATCACTGGAGTAGACTATACAAAGGTCAAGACTTAGGCCTAGATTTCAGGGGACATCCAAAATCCTACCTTGAGAAACACCTATTTTTGCCTTCAAGCAGCCTAATTCTGCTCTCGCTGGCTGTCATAGGAAGCCACTGATGCAAAGGTAGCCACATTCTGGGGAGAAGAGATATTTCCTTCATAATGAACATGCTGTCAGGTTTTTCAGAATTTTGGATCCTGAGTGTTTCCATGAGTGAGTTGAAGAGGTGGCATAATGATGGTACTTTGAGTGTTGTACAAATAATCTGGGGCTTGGAGAATGAGAAATCCAGTGCAATGCAGCAAACGTCCATTAAATGTGTACTGTGTTCATAGCATTGTACAGAGAACATTGACTTTTGCCTGGACCAAGTTAATGCAAGTTCTACTTACTCATCGAAAGGAGTTTCTATACTGGAGACTTATATCCCAGGCCTACACAAGGTCTACTTATGACCCTATAATTTATGTAACTTTCTGCGGCAGGTGGAAAATACGTTGGAACCATTGAAAACCAAAGGTTTCTCTCTCTTAGGTCTGCCAGCATCTTTCACAGGGACATCATCTTTAAAAAGAGTGTTTGAGTTTCTTCTCACACAGACCCAAAGGACTTAACCACACAAAAATTACACATTTTTAAGTGATATGAACAAATATTCTAGGGATGAAGACATTTTTGATCCATGTAGATGAAGAAGTTATTTCTATCACTGTCTAAACCCCAAATGTAGTATTGTAACTTGATTCTCAGCAATGGGCTTTGAAGAGAAGTGTGCTTAAAGAAAAGCAGCAGCAAGTTTACCATATGGCACAGCCAAGCGGCTGGTCTGGAAAGGGCTGGAGCATGACCAGGGGCTCTTATATTTCCTGAATTTGATTCGTCTTTTAATACTGTGTGGCAAGATGTAAAAGCTTAAGCAAGTGTTTCTCAAGTGCAGCAATTTTTCCCCCCAGGAAGCACCTGGCAATGTCTGGAGGCATTTTTGGTCTTCACACCCTAGTAGGGTGGGGGTGGAGGAGGCAGAGAAGGACTGCTAATGCACTAATAAAAATGCTGATGAACATCATAGAATGCACAGAAAAGCCCCCTACAACAAAGAATTATTTAGTCTAAAATGTCAACAGTGCCATAATGGAAAAACTCTGTTTAAACCTTTCTACATCTCTGTTGAACTCCTGTTAGTGGAATTGCAATCTGTGCTTCCTGTCTCTCTTCCACATTTTATCCTAGAACCCATCGATCTTTTTGAAATAAATTAACGAAAATAAGCAGTGAAATGTTATTAAGGAAAACACATTATATGACATAAAGCAGAAAATATGTAGACAAAGAGAGAGAAATTGGAATGAAAAGAGAAGAGAGGGAAAGAGTTTTAAATTAATTATGCTAAAGGATAATAAAATCTTTGGGGTAAATGGATATTCAAAAGAACATATTTTATCCTACTTTGAGAGCTTACTCAAATGATTATAACTGGGAAGTTGAATATCAACATATCAGGAGTAACAGGATATCACAAAGACACAGAGCTGGAGATATTCAATCTTTTCCTTGGGACTCAGTCTCAAATAATAATTGCATGTATGTTCCCCTTACAACACTCATTTCCATCCAATGTTTAACTTATAGGCTACCTTAAAAATTGTGCAATCTCCTTTTCCTCTCAGAAAAGCAAGGTTCAGTCTCTCGAGTTGATACTGGATCTCATGATCTTTGCACACATTCGAACTTTCCCAAACTTTCAAACTACATTTAAATTCAACATACTTCCCTATTACATAATGAATCCAAATAAAACAAGGACATTGTTGTTTTATACTTTATTTGAGAAGAGACCCTACATAAACTATGTCAGGAGGATACAGGTCTACACACGATTTCATCAATCAATAAATGGAGTTGTTAACATAACATTGAAGATATGATACTATGAGAAAGACAGACATATGACCAAGGAGTATTTACAACTCTCACTTATGATATATTTATATTGAAGATGGATATATACATATATACATGTACATGTGCATATACATACCTATGTCCATACATACACACACATATATACATATATATGTATAAAATGTTTTTAAACAAAAACCAAGAAAAGAGTTCGCCTTCCTGTAGTGATTAACCATTTGAAAGTGAAGAATGGTTGATTTGTATTAGTGTCATGGTGTTAAATCTCTGCCCCCACATTTAACTTCAACACCCATAGATTCCGATGAAGACACATGTTTGCCTTGGGATGGAAGCATGAGGGTGAAGAATGGGGTGATGGGTATGGGGCCGAGACTGAAGGACATGCACAATGGGAGAAACAACCTTTGGTGATACCATTAAATCATCCTTTTGTATTAAACATAAATTACTAATACAATTTAAAAAAATAATTTTTTGTTTTCTTTTGAGGTTGGGGAGAAAGGAAGGGTGAGATGAAGAATAGAGGGTGGGCACTTGCCTTTTCAACATATCCCTTAATATCAACTGAGAACACACCCCTCTAACCTGTGGCCATCTTATCAAGTTAGAATTTTTTTTTTTTTTTACATAAATGACACCTTCACATAAGAGTTTTACTTAGACAATAAACCTCTTCTCCAAAGGCAAATGCAGTCATCATTTTAACGAGATTGATTCTCCAAGACTCGCCAGGATGCAAATAAAATCAGCATAGCCAATGCATTCACCTGTCATAAAGGAAAGGAATGAAGGGAACAGCACCTCAAGGAGGAGATACGATTAGTAAAACCCAGTTCTACTAAAACCTCAGTCACTTATGTTAAGTTATCAACTTTGGGATCCAAATGATAGGAAGCAATCATGATCAGCACTTTCCAGAAGCCTGGGAGAAAAACAAACGAGCATCACGTAGGAGTATTTCTAAGTCATAAAATACAAATGAGGAACTATCAATTGGGATTAAAATAAAGGGCATAAGATCCAGTTGAAAGCACCTCAACTGCTGTGGTCAACGTCTCCACCCATAAATGATGACTTGGCAATACTGTATTCATTGTTAAACTTTCCTTAATTCAAGCCACACTGTTGTTGTTGCTGCTGTTTTTTCTTTTCCAAAATCTGTAAAATTAGCTTGGCCTCAGAACAGGTGTGCCCAGGTATCAGGTGTCCCACATGCCAAACATACCATTGTTCAGCAGTTGCCATAAGCCAGCTAACCCTTCAGATTGCCAATATATTTATGCAAACATTGGGAAACACACATGAACACATGGGATCAGACAAGATATAATAGCTTTACATATACTTAGTACAGAAGCTTAGGGAGGGGGGATGGAAATCAGTTACAACAGTACCTAAACTTCATTGGCAAAATTCCTCTCAGGGAACGTAATATCCTAATAATGCACTGAAGTAGGTACCAGCTGATTTTCCAGATATTGAAAGTTTGCTGCACAACATCAGCCTAGAGATAAAGGGACATGTAATGTCCAGTAGGAAACAAATCAGTGTATATCATTTACACGACAATAAATCCTTCATTTCCCTTGAAATAAGATATGTAAAGTAGCACTTAGTTTAATACAAGTTTTGTTCTGCTGTAGACCTAGCTGTAAAAAGCCATTCATGCAAAAAATTACTTCCAGTTTTAGCTGGATGTTTAAAGGACACTTCTCCTGAAAACAAGTCCCTTTCACTTAGGGAAGGGAAAAAAAAAATCCCACTTAGCCAGTGCCGGCTGAGAGTGGAAAATACAAGACTTTGGTGTTTGTAGGGCATTTGCCTTAAGAACCCAGAAGTAGCACTGAGCTCACCTCTAAAGAGGCAGAGGGCTAGACGCGCCCTTGAAAATTTTAGGAATTTTTTCAGAAAAAGTACTGAGAATCTTTATAAAATTGTATTCGCTGGCCAGTTCCCTCCTGGGGCTTCTATTGGCATCATCTCTCCTTCTAGAGATGCCTGCTCTGCATCTCTAGTCTCAGGCCACATTTCCCCCAGCCAGCAGATCGTTCCTCCATTAGCAGTCACTTTGCAGCTCCTTCCCCTCTGTTCTAAGGGAAAATAACTTGTATTATTAAGCTTTCCTATCCCCATAGGTCCTTTCTGTACATATTATTTCTAAACTTTTTAAATATGGGAAGGTTCCTGGATTAAAATATAAGACAAAACTCCTCTATTCTAAAGAACTCTAACAGAGGTGTTGGATGCTGCTCACCTCCAGTCTTCATACAAATAATCTAGAGAATCTTGTGCCATGGCCTTTTTTGCAGGGCAAGTGTGAGCACTGGAATGAGATTCACTCAAGAGGACAAGGAATGGAAGGAATGGATGGCTACATCTTAGACCCACTCCCAAGTTAGAAATCATCGTTCCACTGAACTTGCTCCTCTGAGATCTGGCTCTGTCCTACTTTTTCCACCTCATTTATTCCTAAAAGAAACCCCTTATTTTCTTACACCACTAAATGTTATGGATGTTATGATAAGCAACATGGAAAGGGAATGGAAAGAAAGGGATAAGATATAGGGGAAATTCAGAGCCTTGGATGGTACAGAGGCATTCAAAATGGAGGTTTTCTAACATCTGTCAGATAGAAGGCAATATTTATGATGAAACCTGCAGTGACTGACTTGCCTTCCCAACACAGGATTCATCCTGACATGAGTGGAGAAGATGCTGACAATTAGTTAAGAGTAGACAATGATGACTCTAAGATGATATCTGTGTGTCATTGTGCTATATAAAAACTGGCCAATCACAAAGCAATGTGACAACATGTGCTTCTGCTACCCTTGTTTTCTCAGTACACCCTTCAGTCTGGCCTGAAGAATGCCACAAGGAGTCATTTGCATTCTTATTGTGATTGTTTAAGGCAAAAACAGCTGTTAAAGAGCACTCAGGGTTGAAGGGTGGATGCTGAGAATCAGAGAAGTGCCCCCAATGAGTCTCCAAAATGAATAACAGCAGCATCACTGGGACCTTTTCTGTCCCCAAACTTCATAGCTTCTGCTCAACTGCTGTGAAACATTGCCTCCAGATGCACACTGAGTCAAACATAGACTTGTACATTGTGAGAAATGTGCAGAAATGTTAAAAGGAAAATGATTGTGTATAAGCAGTCCTTCATTTAGGGGTTTACAAGTCAGTGGTATGTTATAAAGACTTGTGTAGGGGGAGCCTACTCTAAAGCATGCCCTTCAAATGAAGTCTAGTGTGTTTCTTTCTACTTCTCTGAGCCAGGAGAGCTGGGAGTGTTACTCCAAACCCATTTGTTAGGAGGTCAAGAATGTGACAGAGACAGCTAAGCTAGGCTTGGTAATAAATGAAAGATGTAAGAACCTTAAGAATAAAGTCTTCCAAGTTGAGGCTCCGGTAGATAGGAAATAAAGGAAAACAAAACAACTGCCCTTCCTAGTCTGGGAGGTCAATCAGGATAGCGGGCCCCTTCAATTCAGGGGGTTGTTTGCTGTCCCTGGTGCTGAAAACATACACCCAGGCTTCGCTGCAGAATTTACACTCTGGGATGCGAGAAGCAAGAAATCCCGCTTATCAAACTAAATACTCTTTCAGCAAAGGCTGATTTCAGGTGACAGGCCTCAAAACATGTTCCAAAAGTCTTTTTTTTTTTTTGTATGTGTGTCATTTCAAACAAAAATAGCCCTGAAGCAACCCTAGTTTTCCTGTGGAACAGTTAATGCGTGCCAAAGTACTGATGTGGTAGCTCTCCCAAAATTCCCTCATGTTATTCATGAACCTTAAAACCTTGGAAAAGAAAGATTGTAAACAGATGCACCATTGGGGTCTACAGTCCCCACCTACTGATTTCTTTTTCTGATACCAGTTGCAGACAATAATTTATATGGCTTGCTATGACTAAATGTTTCTGAAGGAAATATTTGGGTAAAACTTTGCCATGAACTGCAACATGGGCCTCTGAATTCCTCTCCTTTCCTAATTTTATTGTCACATTCTGAGAAAATAAACAGGGCATCTATTATGCTAAAGAGAAAGTATAAACTCATAAACAACTACATTCTATCTGCCTTTAACCCCCCACCAGGCAAAATACACACACACACACACACATACACACACACACACACACACACACACAGAATCTCAAAAAGTAAAGTCTACCTGAGAAATAACATGAATCTTCCCCCAACAGTACACAAATCTTTGCCAGAGAGAAGAACACTGCTATTTTCTTTCACATTCAGAGTGAGAATTTTCTTGCCCCAACTTGCTTTCCTTTCATTTTAATTTGACAGTTCCTCAAGCTAATCCACCATGGCCCCCACATAAACAAGAAGAGTTCTTGATGCTGTGAAGTGAGAGAAAAATAACATGAGTCATTTTCTGTTGCCTCCACATCTGATAGAATTGGAGGAGCCTTTACTTTGGGATATGAATACAATCAATCTTTTCTAGCCTGGAAAAGGAAGTATCCTAAGAAAGGCTAAACTCTCAGAGAAGGGGCAGATGGTGAGAAAGCATTGAAATAAGTTCTTGTTGTGCCTGTTAACATATCAGGTCAAACTTTCTCTACCTGGTGAGTTATTCCCCAAATGATATCTCTGAAATCCTTAAATAATCAGCCTTGTCTTTAGGAAGTTATATAGTGAAATGAGCTTGTTCAAGGAAGGCTTTAACAGTACTGTGAAGGAGGTCATCCCCTCCAGATTATCAGAATAAATTATGAAACTTCACCCTGAACCAGTGACTAAGCCAAATAGATAAAGCATCCCCCTGTCTCCTTGTATTTTTTAGAGCATTCTCCATGGCTAGATACTCAAAGTGAAAAATGCTAATGGCAAAACTTCTAAAAAACAGACACCAGCAAAAATTTAAGGAAGATATGCCTCAAAACACGTCTCAAAAGCGGCTCTCAGTCTCTCAGCTCAGCACCCAGCAAGACTGCATGCAACTGCCCAGAGAGTGGGCTCTATTATTTGTCTGGCCCTGTACAGTTCACCTTCTCCAATTTCACATCATAATTTAAAATCTCAGTGGTAACCCAATTTGGACTCTCATTTCGAAAGCTGGGATGCTTTTTGTCTACTGAACAGTAGTCCGAAACAGAGGTGTTGCTTTTCTACACAAGAAAAACAAAAATTGAGCCCAATCTTTTGTCATCAAGATTGCCTCTGTATGAGGCAAAAGTTAAAGAGAAAAGAGAAGCTGAGAGAGCCTGAACTTGAGCAAAATATTTGTGAATTTTCTAGGATTTGGGGTATGCAGCTTTATTCTGATTTCTTTCTGGAGTGATCAAAATACTTTTAGAAAATCATGTATAGCATTTTGTCAGATACACTGCAAGTGATTGTTGCTTGGAGATCTATGAAAAATAACATTTGAGAAAATTTTACTTGCCAAGTAGTCACTAATACAGAGTACTTATAATAGTGGCTTGTCATCACAAACACCTGGGATTTTTTAGGGGCTGTAAATGACAGAATACTGTGACTTTGGCATTCTGGCCTCAGGATTCATTATCAAGGGTTTCATTTTCATTCAGAAACATTTCTCCGTGGGAATCCCACTCACACGTATTTTTGTTGGCACTTGGGCCTATTAAAGGTGTGGTCTAGCATTTGCTCTTCACTCATCTTAAGATTATTTTCCCATGTACAAATGCTGGTCCTGGCATGAACAGGGTACCACTTAAAAATCATTATCCCTTCAGATGCTCCCTGAAAAATTAGTTATACCACCAAATTTATAGAGAAAGTTTCACAGAGTCCTATTTTTACAAAGCATTATGTTGAAATTGACAGAACCTTATGAAAGCAAGAGTTGATGGCAAGGAATTAAATGCAGCAGAAGATGCCATTTTGCTACAAAATGTCAGAGTTCCAAGCCTGAAAACAAACTCTAATTGTCCCTTTCCAGTGACTAAGCCAAATAGATAAAGAATCCCCCTGTCTCCTTGTATTTTTTAGAGCATTCTCCATCACTAGATACTCAAAGCAAAAAATGCTAATGGCAAAACTTCTAAAAAACAGACACCAGCAAAAATTTAGGGAAGATATGCCTCAAAATGTGTCTCAAAAGCGGCTCTCAGTCACTCAGCTCAGCACCCAGCAAGACTGTATGCAACTGCCCAGAGAGTGGGCTCTATTTGTCTGGCCCTGTACAGTTCACAGAGTATGTTAACAGTTATGATCTCATTTAGGGCTCAAATAACCCTCTGTGGCATGCAGGGGGTTGATAGTAGTTCTATTTTGTATGTTAAGAAACTGAGGTAAAGGGCAGACAATGTTTTTCCAAGATCTCTCAGCAGGAAATAGAAATGTGCAAGTTCTCTGCCTCCTATTCCCATTATCCTCCCTCTACCACACTTTCCATCTGTTTTGCCATTTTATCCTAGAAAGCATTCATAATAGACCCCAACTCTTTCCTAAAGAAATAAAAGTGAAAAAAATTATAAATCTCATTGAATATATTAGAAGGAATCAAGAAAAGAAACAATATGGAACTATCCCCAGCATTAAAAAGTATACATTTACATATATATGTAAATATATATATATATATACACACACACCCCTATATATATGTAAACTATATATATCCCATATAATAATAATCATATATACATGGGATTATTTTAATATGTATATATATTAAAATAAGGGATTGGGTTAGACATTATGAATTTGTTTTTAATAGTAAATATGGTTATTTGTGTTTTTCAGAGCCATTTAAGGAACAGAGTTGAAGTATCTATTGATACATAATGATTTGGGGAATAGATGGTTTGGTCTTCCAGCTCCTTCAGCAATTTCTTCTATCTCTTTGTTTCTAGAAAGGAAGCATATTATCAGGTTCAGTTCTGTGCTTAAGATATAAACCTCTCTGGTGCCATCACAGAAAAGGTTTCATTTGATTGAAAAAGGCTTTTTTTTCCCCCTCAAGATTTGGATGCTGCTGCAAATCTGTGTGTCAATATTATAGTCACTTCACTAAATAAATAAATGCTTTGCTGACATGTGGAACTCCTCATCTATAGAAATATAGCATATCCACTCTCATAGGGGCCTAGAAAAAATGAAAATTATGTTTTACCATTTATCCATATAGTTAACAGCCAGAAAACAACAGAGGAAATTAAAAGAAAACGTGTTTGGAGAAAGGCTCCCCTTTCCTAACCAAGCCAGAAGGATGGTTTGACTTCAAAAAGACAGACTGAGGCATTATAATAGGCTTGTTGTCCCAGAGTCTCTTGTGCAAAAGCAACTGATGAGGCGCTAATGAGGCACTAATCACTTGGTCCAGGGGGCTGGAAAGATACTGATGGCTGGGAGAACGCACTTGTTTTCCTCTCTGAAAACCTAGGCTAAATCCCAAGCTTGGTTGATGTGCAGGCTAGGAAAGAGGGAGATGAGCCAATAGGGCTTTCCCTGGCTTTTCCCTGGCCTTAAAGGGTGGGGTGGGGAGCAGGGAATGGACAGCAAGTGTTCAGAGTTTGGACAGCTTCCAAAGGAGGGTCACAAGAGATAAACTGCCATAAAACAAAAATGGGACTGACTCCTCAGTGTGGGGGGGATGTTTGCAAACTTGTTCAGGGCAGGATCTTGAGATGGTATATAATATTTCAGTGATAACCAACTTGAGCAATGGATGAGAAACAGATTGGCTTGCCCCATCTCTGGAATTAGAGGGGCACAGGACTGCAACTAGTTGTCAGATGCCCACATTAAGCTAAGGACACTCAAGTGACAATCTAGCAGGCTTGCTCCTAGCCCAGTGCTCTTCTCCTGCCCCATGCTAACCGTTTTGGTTCACGTTCTAATTCAATTTGAGTGTCTGAGCTTCATATCTGACTACTTGTTTCAGCCACAAGATAGGTTCAATAACCTGCTTAAACTACTTCACATTTATATTTGCACTTACTACTATTTGTTACTCAGGAACAAATTCAGTACCATTTCCCCCAGAAAATTAATTAATTAAATAAAATCTGAATCAAGTTTTTGTTTCTCGAAGAAAACCAGTCCTATCTTTAAATATGAAGGTTTAAAGAAACTCAAGATGTAGTCTCCCTTGAAAAAGCCTTAATTTCATGAGCTCCAAAGTGCAGAAAGTCAAAGGGTATGTGTCGATAATAAGAGGAAAGATGAGCTATAGATGACTTTAAGAAATCACACATGTGATGCACACTTCATTGCAAATGCATGCACACAAAGATCAACGGAAGCGACACAAATGGGGCATATGGATTTGTATACCAGTAGGATTGTGGAGGCTTTTGTGTGTGTGTGTGCGCATATATGTACACACGAATAAGTATCATAACATAAATAATTAAAAACGTGAATGTAGTTTGCACTATGAGCACGAGCACCTAGAATAAAACACAATGCTGATAATTGCTTTTAAATAAAGTCATCAAGATTGCCTCCGTATGATTTTTACCTTTTTCAGCCCAGAAAGATATCTTTCCAATTCATAAACACAGTGTCCTTGGCTGGAAACTTCCAATTCTCCTAAAGAAATACCTAAGAATATGCAAGGAGATTCTTATTATTTAAATGAAAGACAAGAGGCAAGTAGGAAAAACAATTTCAAAGGGAATTAGAATCAGTAAAATCTCAGAGAAAATTGTTATCCAGACTTCAGGGTAACGTATTCTAAAACCCTGAGGTAAGTTTCCAAAGACGCCTGCAACCATGCTGAGCAACTCTGTGGAGTCTGAAGGTGACTGAATCTAACCTGAAGGCCTTTTCTCAAAACTTTGGATGTAATCAATGGCCCTATTTTGCAGAAAAGTTGCAATTTCAGCTTTGAGGTTCTATGTGGCTGTTGTGCCACAATGTGGAATTATAGAGTGAGTCTGGCTCATTCTGGAGCCAACCACTCCTTAAAGAGATGACAAACCAGTGCTTAGAAAACAGCTACATCTTTTGTCCCAGTTGGGAGAAACAGGAGCTGTGGCTGCCTCTCTTGTAAGGACCATAGGAAAGACCTGCACAAAAGACAAACACCTTGTCCTTCAGAATCCGTCTGTCCGGCCTAGACGCAGTCATGACCTTGTTGCAATGGGATCTTGAATCCCTAGAGGATTGCAGAGCCCAGAGCAGGGCTCAATGACTTAGGACACACTAATTCCTTTTAAACCATTTCACTTTGTGCAGCATTAAGATATGCTGTGAAACTGTCATCAGCAGAGTGTTTTTCATGCCTTAATTTGCAGTTCCCTCAGGGGAAACCCAATACAATGACAATCTCTGTCACTCTAAGCAGAAAGCCTGGCTCAGCATCATGGTCAGAGAAGGCCCAAACTCCCTCTCCTAGGGTCAGATCTCAGCCACGGCTCCTCTGCTCCTGGAGGCTAAAAGTTTATGGACAGAGAAAGCAGAGTCAGTGGGGAGAGGAGGGTTGCTGAGGGTGGGCCACCACGGGTTCCAGATGGGATTTGTGGAGACACATCACATGCATCTCAATGAGCTTTGCAGTAAAATTCACTGCACAGAGGTTAATCTAGATGTCAACATCGTCTGACAGCACTGAAATTACTCCAGGGCAGGGCTTCTTCAGAAGTCTTAATATAACAGTCAATTCCATCCTGCCTACAGGAAATGAAAGTTTTCTGCTTTGTGTGCCGAATCATTCGGTCCAATTTTCTCACTGTTTGAAGTCCAAACTGTTTGTGGCTCTGGGATTCACCTTGTATTAAGACTTTCGTGGAGTTTGAGAAGCTGGATTGTCAGTCCCATGGAAGCAGGAGGATAGAAGCCAAAAGAAAAAGAAAAAAGAAGAAATATGAAAAAAAATCTTCTTCACTGAGATTTACTTCTCCACTACAAATGGCAGAAATCAAATCACCTGGACCACGTTTATTTATTCACTCCAGAGGTAGGCTCAGAGGCATCAGTTACATGCCAGGTAGCTATTAAATTGAGACAGAACATGGACAGATCTCCAATGAGGAAAAAAAATTGAATGTGTCCTACCATTTAACATATTACAAAATTAGTTTTTAAAAATAATATGTGAAACTCCCATGTGTTCTTCTTAAATGAAAGAATAATTATCAGACTTGGACTTCAGTGTTTACACGTCTTGTTGGGTTTTAGGGATGTTGCATGTAAAAGAATGTCAGTAATCCCGCAGCCCTATTACTGGGTATCTGCCCAGAGGAAAAGAAGTCATTATACATAAGAGATAGAGATACTTGCACACATATGTTTATAGCAGCACAATTTGCAATTGCAAAAAGTGGAATCAACCCAAATGCCCATCAATCAATGAGCAGATAAAGAAACTGTGGTACACACACACACACACACACACACACACACACACACAAACATATATATGTATGATGGAATACTACTCATCCATAAAAAGGAATGAATTAATGGCATTCGAAGCGGCCTGGGTGAGATTGGAGACCACTATTCTAAGTGAAGCAATTCAGGAATAGAAAACCAAACATCGTACGTTCTCACTGATATGTGGGAGCTAAGCTGTGAGGATGTCAAGGTATAAGAATGACACAATGGACTCTGCGGACTCAGGGGGAAAGTGTGGGAAGGGAGTGAGGGATAAAAGACTACAAATATGGTGCATACTGCCTGGGTGATGGGTGTGCCAAAATCTCACAAATCACCACCAAAGAACTTACTCATGTAACCAAACACTACCTGTTCCCCAATAACCTATGGAAATAAAAAATATGTATATATAAAATAAGTCTTGAAAAATAGAATAAAAGACTGTCAGAGTACACCGTAAGTATTTGAGCTCTCAATCTACCTTTGGCCTTTCAAAAAAGATGTCTAAATTTATCATTGCTAAAATGAGAAGAAACCAACTCCTTTTGTAAGATACTAAACTGAAAAGCAAGACCTGAGTGCCTCAATGATTCTCAGAAGTAGATGTTCAACAGGCCTTTCCTCACCTCTGTTATCTTGATACATCTTCTATTAGAAACTTCCAGCTTTGTCAGCTAGAAGTATCCCCTGCAAGCTATGAATGTGGGTCACGACACTGAACAAAAAGCAATATTTGCCTGGGTGATTAGGAAAAATTAATACAACTTACTGCCCTGCCTCCCTATGATGAAAGAAAGATAGCCAAGCTCACTGGTTCAAGACATTATCTCCTACTGCAAATGTCAAACTGGGTCTTGTTTTAAATTTGGAACTTAGAAGTAAACTAGAAAGAAGAGAATCTGAGTTTTATTTCTTTGATAAAGAATTCCAAGTACTTTGAAGGAACACCCCCCACCCCAATCCAACCTCCACAGGTCTCACAGAAAAGCATCTATTCTAGTACACTGACACTTGAACCAAAGACAGTTCTTGTTGCAAACTATAGATACTTTCATAGGAAAATAAGGAAAATATGCTTGAGGAGAATGAGTCATGCAGAGCTTCTGTCAGAAGCCAAGATTCAGCTCTTCAGGGTAGGGCAGCCCATGCTCAGAGCAAAAGTTCTAATACCCAATGCAGTGACACAAACATTCACCACACCTACTATGGTCAGCAGTGCCTTTCAGAAAGAGCAATCAATGATCAAAATCTCACATTCTCTCTGTCTCACCCCTCCTAGGGGGTGGTTTTCCCTGCAGTGCTGGTGGCGTCTATACCAACCCCCAAATAAGATGTGATAGAAATGACTCCTGTGTGGTCATCTATCAGGCAACCAGGAAGAATGATTTTCAGATGCTCAGAATGTTAGTCAGCATAATTTAGTTCAGAGAGCACCAAATGATCCAACTTTACAAGATGACAGATTTCCCATCGTAATCTTCCTGAATGTTTCTGAGGCCAGTTCATCTCCAGATTTCTTATCCCCAAGAACGGTAAGGCTAAAAGAGAATCCCAAATTGAAATCAATTTGCTGACTTCAAACAGGCCTTCTTTGAAGCCATTCCAATCCAATATATAGAAATAAACACACAACGTACATATATGTATACTTTCTTTAGAAGACACTCCCAGTATTATTAAGCAACACCAAAACATTTTCCCAAGCCCATATTGATGTCTTAATAATGATGCATAAACTTGGAATTTTCCTTCAAAACCTTAAATATTTAAATCCTTAAATATTGGCCAAAACAATTTATTTGGTATGAAAAAAGAAAGTGGAGCTTCAGGAGCCAAAAACACAGTGACTTCAGCACCCAAGCCCGGAACTAAATGTGCCATTTTTTTTTCTCTCTAAGGCAAATGCCCTTGAGTCTTCTAGCAGGTTGGCTCCCTACCAAAGCAGACAATAGACATCTCAGGGGCCTTTGGGACAGCTCTCTGGACTGCTGGCAGGTGGGTTCATTCAACAAACATCCCTAGACATTTCCTTGCTCCAGATTCCGAGCAAAGCACTAAAAAGACCCTTAATCTCAAGACTGTCCATTGCAATCACTGTACTTTGGAGTCAAGGTAATACTGCTGCTGTTTGGTTTGGAAAAGGGGAACAAAGAAAGTCATTAGTCATTCCTGAATAGAAAAGGACTTTGGTGAATAGTCTGCAACTTAAGACGCTGCCCTCTTTCAAACATCCCGGCCTCTTACAATAAGCATTAAAAGATAAAAATCTTGTCGGTTTTGACCCAGAGTTGATTTCCAGTGGCCTGCATGAGAGATGGGCAGGCCTCTCTCCATATCTTGGAATAGTTTCTGCCAAGTGTTAGCATGTTGGTTTTGAACAGGGAAGGTTGACTAGCTGAGGGGAACAGCCTGGTGAAACGCAGGCAAGTGGCTAGGCCAGTGACCTCCTGTGAAGAGCATAAAAATGAAGTCTCTGGCTTGTCTGCCTGGCTCCCTGTACAATATTCCTCAAATCTACCAGTCACCAGGCCTTCTTTCATTGTCTTCTATAATCAATCCTTTGCCATTGGTAACTTTTCTTCGTCTCCTTCCTTATCTTTCACTTCATCTCTTATTTTTAACAAGCAAGTACATATATATCAGGTGGGACCAGAACCTAGCTTTAAAAAAATGAAAAGGACTCTAAAAATATCTATACAAACCTCTTAAACGTCTCAAATGAGAAATAAGCTGATTTGGCCAAGGCCACGTGGATAACTAATAGCAAAATCAGAAATTTTGCTGGTCTTTTCACCCTGCCACTTTTCTACTTAACTTCCAATGCACCCTGTACTCTCCCGGCATGGCTGACTCACTTCTACTTCTGAGTTGAGTCTCGTGCAGCCCCAGAAGCTGGCTGACAGCTCTCCCGTTGGTGTTGGTTTCTGCAGTATTTAGCACCAAAATGACTTGCACTAGTGTATTCCGCAAAGTAGGCATCACTAGAGAAGAACATTAATGTTCAACCTGAACCCAGAAGGACCAAAGATCCTTTGCCTCAAGTGGGAAGCCTCTGTCTAGGAGTAATTTGTGCATGATCTGCTGAATGGAGGAAGCAGCACCTCCTTTTTCTTGTCTCTTGACTAGAGGAGGTTCAGTGATGCCCAAGGTCCCCTCAGAGTTCAGGGATATCATTAGAGGGCAGAGTTAGGTTCACATCCAAAGAAAGAAGAATTGGGAGGTCCCATGGCCACAACACCCTACTCCAAGGTGGACACCCAACAGCAGGTCACTCTCACTCAGTCCAGGAGAGGATCCGGTGAGGTTGGCATGGCAGAGAGACCAGCCTGGGTGCCCTGGAGCGTTCATCAAAAGACACAAAAGAGCTCACTTCAAAGCTAAGCTCTCAGAGGCGATGTGACATGGTCTTCTAAAAGGTGGACTTTGGTATGGGAAAATGAGGGTGAAATGAACTGGAGTGGCCATATTGGCTAATAGGATGTCATTTCACAACACATTTCATCACATTAGGCTCTTCATAAATAAATAAATAAATGGACCGTCGACAGTGCTTTTCTGGTATGTAGGAATGCCAGGATGGGAAGCCGACCAAATGCTCCCCTCCTGGCTTACAGTCGTCTCAGACACTTCAGACTCCGAAATGTTGAGACAAGGGGCAAAGAAGGAGAGGAGTGTCTTATTGGAACTCAGCCTTGCCCAGGCCCAGTGAGCCTTCAGCGGCAACTGCCCCCCACCTATGCAAGGCTGTCCTGCCATTCCAGAATGGTATTGAGAAAAATGGCACAGTGACACAACGTTGTCAGAATCTAAGAACTCAGAGCTAGAAGGGGCCAGAGATTAGCAGGTGTACCCCTTATTCTGCAGATGGGGAAATTAAGATACAGTGTACTAAGCCTTATCAGTCCTGTCCCAATATAGGAGGGACAGGTGTGTCCCAGTACATGCCACACTCCCCAGAGCCATAGTGTACCCTGCAATTTCCATGGCCCTATTTTCTGCCTCCTTTACTCTCCAAAATAAATCTTTTTTTTTTAATCTGCCAAGGCTAATATATCAAAGTAATATATCTTCCCTCGCTACCCTTCCCTGCTCTGCCCCTCTCTCTCTGGCACTCTTCCACAGCCAGCTGCTTACAATGGACACAGTAAGAACATGACCCCAAGATCAGCGTGAAAGCCCGTGGGCCTAAGGTGGCAGCAATCTGACAACTGCGGTCTCCTTCAGTGCTTCTTGTTCCCCCAAGGAATCACCTTCTTTCATTAGGCCATGATGAATCAGTGCCCTGAAGATAAAACCATAGCATGGTCCTTATTCCCAGTTTTCCACCCATCTCCAACCCAGTTCTTCTCCTGCTTCTTCCCAGCCCATCAGTGACTATCAGTTTTGAAACACACAGCCAAGAAGACAGAAGCCACACAGTGTTTGTTCAGGAGAGGATATGGGAGAAGGGAAGCAACAGGAGCATTGGTGCTTCACTTCTAACCAGAAGATACTTTTCCCTCAGGCGCCTCCAGACCATGCCCTCCCTGAACACCTGTTCTTAGCTACCCAGATCAAAGCCAGATTGTGCAGCTTCAGCCAGAACTCACAGCCCCGGCATAACGGTCCTCTAGGTGGAAAGACAAGAGGAGTAATTGTCATAGGACAGCAAAGGAGTTCCTTGAGGTGGTCAATCCAAACAGCTTTCCTGCAAAGTCCTCAGGGGCTAGGAGCACAGCACAGTGAGAAAACCAACACCAAATTCCCATCTCACCTGCCTCCCCTCCCAGTCCAGCTAACCAGCCTCGTTGATCCCAAATCCCAACCATGGCTACAATCTGAGCACAGCTCTTTACTATTCAAATAAAAATATTTGTGGGTCTACAAAAAGAAGCAAAACCACAAACACATAATTCAGTACTAAACCCCACATAGGGAGGCCCACATTTCAGCTGCCTTCAGCTAACCAGGACGTCCAGGCTGCCGGCAGTCTCTTCAGCTGGCAGGGAAAAGGGTAGGCCAGAGGCCCCCGGGAGGTGAGCTCCAGTGTGGCAAAGGTCAGTCCCTTAGGTAGCTCTGTGCTTGGGGCAAGGCAGAGGGGCCCCGTGGCCTGGGAGGAACACATCCTCTCCTCTCCAGCAGAGGAGATCTGTGGGGCCAGGCTGTTGGCTTCCATGTTTCATGTGACAGGGAGGCCCAGAGGTCGGCCCCACTGTGGTATGTGGCAGCAGCCAGGAAGGCAGTGATTCCCCAGTGCTGGGGCAGAGGGAGCAGGCCCCAGCACAGATGTTTCCTTCCCTCTCTCCGGTCAGGGCTCAGGCCTCATTAAGATTCCAAGCCTGCAGCACTGGCCGCTCATTGGACATCTCCCAGAGAAGCCTCAGCCCTTCCCCCTACCCCAGCCCACAAAAGTGATTTCTCAGCCCCTGCGTTTTCACAACAGCTCAAAGGCAGATGCATCAATCCTCCCAGGGGCTGGAAACGTGAGGAGAATGCCAAGGGGCCTGGCACAGGTGCCAAGTAGATTCTCCCCTGCTGGCTCTCACCCACTCCACTGCTTGCTTTCCTGAAACACTCACTGCTGCAGCCTCTCACTAGACCTGGCTCCCTTCCTTGGCAGTGGGGTTTACCTGGGACTCAGTAGAGACCCAGGAAGTGGGGTCTAGGATCTAGGGAAGCAGGATGAGAAACTGAGAGGACCAGGGGGCATTCGTTATAATGACCTACAAGCAACCAAGTCTCTTGCTATTGCAACCCTAAAGCGTGCTGTGTCTACATTCAAAGATAACATGGGGACCTGTTTCCTAACCCCCTAAGCTTCCCAGGGGCCTGAAAGTGGGAGGTGAGGCCAAGGAATCTTTGCAATGATGGAAAAGACAGGTGGCAGTGTCTTGGCAGGGTTCAGGTTTCAGCTATTTTTTCTTCTGTGGTTCTTTTACTCCAGAAAGTCCAGTTCTTTAAGTTCTGAGAATAGAAAGACACATCCTTTGCAACTCCAGCAAGAAGCTTACACCCAGGATGGATGCTGTCAGCTCTTGTCATGGTTTTGTGTTGTGGGGTTGTCTGTTCTGTGTTTACCCGTAGGTGCCATCATTGATTCCCAAAAGCATCAAGATTACACTTTTTAGAATGGACAAATTAGAACATTGTCCTGAAGTGGAGGAAATGGGGAAGAAGTGGAGGCAAGGACCCTGCTCAGGCATCATTTCTTTGCTGAGCACAGCCATGCAGTCCCCACATGTGCCTGTGGTGAGCTTCCGGGGTAACAGACACACACAGCAGCGACTGAGCACCACCTTAACTCCTCCCGTCCCAGAGCTCTCATCCCAAAGATTGTCTCTCTGCATGGTCCAGGTCTTCTGCTCCAAAGAGCCGTAGCATTAGAAGCATGGGCCACAGCTTAAGTCAAAGGGAATTTTCCTTTGTATTATTAATATTTTAGAGTTTCTGAGTTGTTAAAGTCTTGTGGTTTTCTGTATCAGCAGCTTCTCTGTGTACTAGAGAAGGTAACTCTCTGTAGATATAGATTGATAGATAGTTAGATATATAAATATATATATATATATATATATTTGCCAAACTGCCTTACAGGGTTTTTTTTTCTTTCTTTTTTTTTCCTTTTTTCAGTGTTGTATGTGTAGCAGGCACTTGAGTTTATATGAAGATGTTCGCTTCAGTCAAGGATGGAAGGAGTTGTGAGGTGGAAGGGAGATGTGAGGCAGGGAGAGAGGAGGCAACAGAGTATGAATTCATGACCACCAGCCACCACTAGCCAAGAATGTCCAGGTAGATTGGGGTGGCCTTCCCCAAAGCATGGAGGATTTTGTAGATCTCCTTGATGTTCAACCGCTGCTGTGGTTCCCTCTGCCAGCACCCCAGCATGACATCGTACACCTCTTTGGGGCAGACTCGGGGCCGCTCCAAAACACGACCTTGGGTAATGCACTCAATGACCTGAAAGAGTGAGAAGAACAAGGAAGTTACACCCAAAGCTCAGCCTTGGTCCTGTGGCTCAGACTCGGCAAAAAGCAACAACTTCCCGGATTAGTTTCTATGCAGAGCCGAGGCTCTCACAAGCACAAGCTAAAGGCTAGGCTGTATACAGCACTGGTATATTTGTCTGTCTGGTGCACAGTGCAGTGAGCAGCAGTGGCTGGTGGAGTCCTCTGCTGCCCTTCATACTCCACTTCTTGGGCCAGGCCCACATTGACCATTGACTCCCCATACTCTCTTCTCTTTTACCTCACTTTTCTTCTCTAGTCCTGAATCTCATCAGGATGACTGAGCTGCATTCATTTTTCACTTGATAGTGGACATGGGCTTCTGACCTGTCCCTCCCCCTTTCATGAGCCTGCCTCACTTTGAAACTGCCATGAAGGAGCTCTGCACCCTCTGGCCCCTGCATGCCTATCTCCTCTTATCTCTCATTCCTGGCAGGCTCCCAGTTGCAGACTCTGTGCACGTCACCACACTTGCCTCTGAGTCATTACATAGGACCCTTTTGCAGCAAGACCCATCCTTCCCTGCTGCTTGCACTAAACCATGCTTCCAGTTTCTCTTAAAGTCCTTAACAATAGGACTAACTGCTTGATTCACCACTGCCTTCTGGGTGGCCAGTTCAAGTCTGTTAACCTCAGGATCTCAGCATGTCCATCTGTAAGATGGAATCAAATGTCTGCCTTAACCACCCCCAGGAGTGTTGTAAGGATGAAATGAGACCACGAAAAGGGACTGTATGGCCCAACATACTGAAGGAGAAGCCATAAGGAGGAGTAGGAAGAAAACAAGTAATGCATGCCTGGCCAACCCCAGCAGGCCACTTGAGACCCAAGTGTATAATTTGCAATGCATTTCCAATTCCTCAAAGATAATTCTTTACTGACACTGAATATATGCATTTTCAAGGCTTCATTGTCTAGTTTTTAGGTTGGTTTTCACTTCTCCCTAACTCTACCACTGCATAACTTTGGTCAAGTCACTGACCCCGAACTTCAGTTTCTGCATTTAAAGATTGGTCATAATGATAAAAATACAAAGAATAATCTCTAGCTCAGCAGCTGAACAAATATTATTTCCCTTCTCTGCCACCATTAGTCTGTATCTAATTAGGTAAAAGCACTGTCTTTTTTCTCCTTTGCATGTCCCTACACTGCTCAACAGTGCCTTGTTTCCAGTATTGTCTCATGTCACGCTGACTTTGGGAGGGCTGGTCAAACCATCACTGTGTCAGCATCCGCCTGGTTATATTCACCCTGGAGTTTACGATGGCCCCTTGGCTCATTTCTTTACCAGCCTGATAAGTCTCCAGCTGCTTATATTCCCCATTCATATTAGAGACCCATTTCCACCCTCCATTACCTTCACCTCCAGGAAAAGGGATTCAGTTCGAACTACAGTAGCAGCTGCTAATGCCAAGATCAAAGGCACCTGGGAGTGTCTCTTCTAATGTTGGACTATCCAGGTTTGTTGATTTCCATGGAGAAACCGATGATCAGAGACTGTCAGTATGTGGCTGCTATGGTGGGTGGAGTGGGGGAAGTGGCTGAGGGCAGAAAGCCTGCCTTTAAGGCCAATGCCTCTGTGAGTCTTAGAAGAAACTGCAAACACCCTGTTAGCTGCTATGAGCCAGCTCAAGAACAGATGCTGAGTCTTCTGTTAAGACCAATAGCAACCTCAGCCCAGAACCTCTGTTTACTGGGGCCACCAAACTACAAGGAGGCAGTGTTCAGGTGCATGCATGGTGTGTGTGTGTGTGTGTGTGTGTGTGTGTGTGTGTGTGTGTGTGTGTTCCTAACCCTTCCTCCCCTGCGAAAACAGTAACAATTTCTTAAACACCATAACAAATGGGTTCTAGTATATATACTTTCATTATTTTAAAAGATTGTTAAAATATTTTGTTCTACTTTGGGAAATGTGGTCAGGCCCCACTGAGCTTGTGAATCATGAGATAGTACACGTTTTAAAAAATAATTTCTTTTCAGTCTTTGTAATTCACTTAATCAAGTGGTCAAGACATAGGAGAGCAGAGACAAACATAGCTTCCAAGAAGAAAGACACTCTGTTGAATATTCAAATAAGATTTCAATACCAAAAGGGTCTTGTGTTTACATTTTCCCAGCAAACAGAAGACCATAAAAAGAATTGCGATGTTTCATAGGGATGTTTCATAGGTCGACTGGGTTGAAAGACTGAGCTCCTTACTGCCTACAAACTGCACTGAATTCCCTGGGGCAACATGGCATGGTCCATGCATCACTGAGAAGCATCTTGATGGGCTTTGGAGGCAGAGGAGTCCTAGGATTACAGCCCAGGCTTTGTCCCTGCTTTGGAGGCTCTTACCTGTGAGACCCTGGCCAGCCCATTTCAGTACCTCAAGCAGACCCCCTTCCTTTAACCTGAATCTCAACAGGTGTTTTTGCAAAAATTACTGAATTAATAGAGCTAACATGCTTAGAAAAGTGCCTACCACTAAATGTCAGCTACTATTAATTTATGTTTACTAGCATTTTTTATTATTGCAAATTACAATTATAAAAAATATAATGGCTATTTATTACTAAGTTTAACAGTAAACATACTAATAAACATAGTAAAAACATAGTAATAAAATAAACACGGTTTATTTTATTCCTAGACGTTCACACATGACTCTACCAGTTATAAAACTGGTCTTCCCAAATTGACCATCTGGTACATCCCTGGGCTTGGCATACCTAAAACCTTTGTGCACCCAGATTATGTGGGCATACTAAGTAGTGGGTGTTTCCACAAGATGGCACAATTGAAAAACTCATAGCTGTTCTGTTTTCCTTTTTTGTCATAGTGAAACATTTGTGATTTTTAAGGGTAGCAGATTTAACAGAGGCATGACTTGAGTCTCAATTTAGACCTCTGATTTCATGCTCTTTTGACAATTACACCACATTTCCTACAGTTCCATTTTTTTTTTCCTACTAAGAAGCTCTCTGCTCCCACTAATGCCTGCATTCACTCTGCTGGCTCTAAATCCCACCTAATGTCTTGTTCAGTAGGTCCAAGTTCTGGGCTGAGATAGCTCTTATGAGCCCTCCCCCAATCAAGATTCCTACGCACCCCCTTTTTACCTCCGTGTTTGAGAGTTGGAACCATGGCTGCTTTCCATAGGTGAAGATCTCCCAGAGGATCACCCCGAAGCTCCATACATCACTCTCTGTAGTGAACTTCCGGTACATGATGCTTTCAGGAGGCATCCAGCGAATGGGGAGCATGGTGTGTCCTCCCACCTAAAAGGGGTTGAGATAGAGGCACACAGAGTGACCAGATGGCCAGAATGAGTGTTATCTGTCTGCACTCTTCACACATAGATGCACTCTTGATGCATCCTATTCTAAGATAGTCACAGCTTTATGCAACTTCTATCAGAGGTGTGTGAAGATGCTGACTTTGGAGACCTACGATAAAGGAGACAGCTAGACTAGCAACTAGAGGTAACACCTGAGGGAAGGTAGGTTCCTTGGCACTCAGTGTGTAGAAAGATCAAGGTAATCTGAAGTGAGAGAGAAGGTTTCAGAATCTAGCACTACAGAAAAATCTAACCTTAAGAGCAAGTCCAGCAAGAAGTCAGCAGAATGACTAAGCCAGTCACCAAGGATCAGTATCTGCAAACATCAGGTTAGATTCTTGGCTGCAGTGGCACAGTATATTCCATGTGCATCTGATCTGCAGAACTTTAGCTTCTAACTGACAATCTCGAATCTCTCACCACAATTTAGGACTCAGTGTTTCAAGTGAAGGAGACAGAGACATTCCAAAAGCGTGGAAGACCACGTGCTAATAAGGTAGGAGATGGACAGAAAGAGAATTCACCACAGTTCTTAGTAAGATCTCAAAGGACAGTAGGGAGAGTCTTTAAAAATAGCCTAAGGAGGATATCAACCACCTGTGAATCTGCCAAACTGAAAGCCAAGGGGAAAAGGAAGTGACTGACAAGGATAAACACCCAGGGTACCCTTTACTGAGAAAAACATTAGGGAACTCCTCTTTGCCCAGCAGGCTAGAGATGTTAGCATAAGTGGGAGAAAATTCACAGCATGTGTGAAAACTCAGGAACTAACTGCATCATTAGTAAATAGATTTTCAGGAACTGAAACTTTTGCCTAATACATGGAACTCATTGTTAAAAAAACTACTTAATATTGAAAAAAGAGTTGTCTATTTATGTCCGGATGAGGTATTACTTAAAGTTCTCATTTCCTTCTTTCTTATTTATTTATTTATTTATTTATTTATTTTGAGACGGAGTCTCGCTTTGTCACCCAAGCTGGAGTGCAGTGGCGCGATCTCGGCTTACTGCCAGCTCCACCTCCCGGGTTCACGCCATTCTCCTGCCTCAGCCTCCCGAGTAGCTGGGACTACAGGTGCCCGCTGCCACACCCGGCTAATTTTTTGTATTTTTAGTAGAGACGGGGTTTCACTGTGTTAGTCAGGATGGTCTCGATCTTCTGACCTCGTGATCCGCCTGCCTCGGCCTCCCAAAGTGCTGGGATTACAGGCTTGAGCCACCGCGCCCGGCCTAAAGTTCTTATTTCTATGGGGGGTCAGTTAGAGAAATAATAACAATGAATAATTAAGAACGAATAAGTTGGGAGATGGGCAATCTTGTTTCCAAAAAGGGAAATCATGTTTGCCTTAACCACTTGAAGAATTTTAGGAGGTAAATTATAATACAAGTTTGCAGAGCAGTTCTTTTCTTTTCTTTCTTTTTTCTGAGACAGAGTTTCACTCCTGCTGCCCAGGCTGGAGTGCAGTGGCGCGATCTCCGCTCACTGCAACCTCCGCTTCCTGGGTTCAAGCGATTCCCCTGCCTTAGCCTCCTGAGTAGCTGGGATTATAGGCATGAAACACCATGCCTGGCTAATTTTTGTATTTTCAGTAGAGACGGGGTTTCACCGCATTGGTCAGGCTGGTCTCAAACTCCTGACCACAAGTTATACACCCACCTTGGCCTCCCAAAGTGCTGGGATTACAGGCGTGAGCCACTTTGCCTAGCCAGAAAAGTTATTTTCAACCTGGGACTTTCTAATCAGGATAGTTTTGTATCCAGTGTAAAGAAAACTGAAGATACTTCTTTCAGACAAGCAAAGACTCAGAAAGCTTACCACTCACATCCTTTCAGAAAATATAGGAGCCAAGCTAATTGAATACATATTCTAGAAAAACAGTAAAAATAACCCAAGCTATGCAATTATTGGAACATAACAAAAAATGCAGAGCAAATAAGCCACAAAAATGCAATTTAAATTTGAATAATGGTTGTTAATTTGGTAGTAAAAGTAATACAATTACTAATAAAGGCTTCCTGTAAAATAGAGACATAAAGTAAATAATAATACTAATAATGCTATTAGTACTACCACTGATACAACTAACATACTTATCTGGAATGAAACTTTCCAATAATTTCAACCATAAATGCATAGAAGAGTAGATATAGAAATAATTAAAAGCCTGATAAAGGCTGTATGTTATAGAAAGGAAAAAAGAAGCTTACAGTGATTAATTGTTGAGATTAACACTTTAAATTTAAATATGCTTACTAAAATTTTAAAGTAGCTTCTAGAATAGAAATAGTACATATAGCTTTCAAACCGTTTTTTAAATAAAGCCAAAATCTTTAACTAATACCAAAAAGACTACAGAAAGGCGGAGTAGGATAATGATGACTAAAAAGCACAAAATGAAAATGAAGCTTAGAAAACACCACTAGAGACAATAAGTACAAATGAGTTATATCACCTCTTAAATGAGAGAGAAATTTAGGTTAGAAAAATCAAGTTGCATGTTATTTAAAATAGACATGTCTAAAACAAAATGGCAGAAAACATTGAAAATGGAAGAGTGCTAAAAATACAACTATACATAAAAGAAAAATATAATTGGCTACATATATGCATATATGTGCATATACATGTATATATATATATGCATATACAGATATATATAGCCAATTACATTTCTTTTATTGTGATTTACACGTTGTCTGTTGTTTCATATATATGTGAAAAAAAGGATTCAAAATGTCAAAAACTAAAGTAAGACTAAATAATTTATATTAAATTTATATCATAATTAATATTATATTTAAAGCTGGTAAAATTCACCATTACGATGATGAAGTTTATGCTCCAATTAATATAGCAACAATATATAAAAATTTATAAAAATATATAGAAATAATACATATATATGTATATGTGTGTGTATATATATATATAAAGAGTAAAAACAAGTTATAAATAAAAGAAAACTGACAAAGCTATCATTATAATGGAAAACTAAAATGCTTCACAAATTGAAAGATCAAGAAGACAACATAAATGAAGATACACTTTAAAAATACAAATAATGGGTTTCAATAAGTAGATATGAGTGTTGTGATTGTGTGCATCTTTCAGCTTCCTTAAAAAATTGCACATTATTTTCAATTACCTAAAAAAAGTATCAAAACCAATCACATATTAAATCTCAAAGGAAAACTGGAATTCCAAGATAAAAAATAAATATGAAGTAAAAATAAGAAACATTTTCTGTATCAAATATAATAAAATAAAAGTTAACAAGAAAGAATAATTTTTTAAAAGTTGTCTTTGGGCAATTAAATTATTTGGTAAAGAAAAAACTGAAAATAAAATGTAAAAGTATTTATTGTAACAATAACTAAAGTCCTATTTCTTGAAATCTATGAAATATAACTGAAGTAATTTTTGAAAAAAAAATTACAGCATTTAAGCATTTATTTTTAAAATAGTGAAAATATAATTAAATTAATAAGGATTCAGCAAGAAAAAAAAAAAGGCAGTAAAGATCCACTAAACAAATGCAAGAAAAGTAAGAAGAAATAAACAATAAAATAAAATAAATACTGATTAATCAGTGTAAAACAAACAAAGCAAAACAGCCAGCCAAAAGGAAAATAAAAATCAGAATTGATCTACACAATCAATTGTTAGTTCTCTCAAAAGTTACATAAACTTTTGGCAAGATTAATAAGGGATGTAGAGGAGACAAATGTAAAATGTTAAGACTATTACATCCATAAATTTGAAAGTATACATGCATTATTGGTTTACTAAAAATATTAATTTTTTAAAAGTTAAATAGAAAAGTTGAATACAAAAACCATAATTGTAAAAAAAATCTATACATTAAAAAACTAGAAGGTTCAGATAGTTTTCTGGTTGAGTTCTATTAAAGTTTTCTGTCTTATTTATACTTTTTCAAAGCAAAAAAAGATAGAAACTTTCCCAAACCATTCTATGTGGTTTAAACGTCCCTGAAGACAAAATCAGTCAAATTTAACATACAGCCTTACATGTATATTTACATAATAAATATCAACATACATAGTTATCTATATGTGTGTAAAACTATGTTATGAATATACTCTCCAAATACAAATAAAATATTTATCAAATCAGCACTATATTACAAGAATTCCATATTATATATAGCTCAATAAGGTTTACCCTAGAAATGTAAGAATGTCTCAACCTTGGGGAACCTACTGTTAAATTTACTAAATTAAAAGATAAAAGAAGAAAAACCATATTTTCAAAAATGCCAAAAATTTCCAACATCTTTTTCTGATTAAAAGTCTAATTCATAGAAGGTAACTTCCTTTATTAAATATACTAAATATCATATTTACTGACAAAACGTTAGGAAAATACAAAGTATCTTCTATCACGAATTTTATGTGACATTTTTCAAGAGGTCCTAACCAATGCAATAAAGCAAGAATTTTTTAAATGAGGTAGAAATATTGAAAACAAAACGTCAAACTGCCTGTTGTATGGATATGATATGACTATTCAAGACAATTAACGAAAAAGCAGTTAGAACCATTATATGATTTAGCAGCCTACCCAGAAATAAGAGAAACACACAAAAATCAAACTATTCTCACATGCCGGTGGCAATGACTTCAAAATACAATGGAAAATAAGATTATTTGTACAATAACAACAGAAGTGTTTAAAACACCTCAGCATAAACCTTAGCAGAAAATGTCCAAGGTTATTTAAATAAATGCATTGAAAAACATAAAAGAGGATCTGAACAAATGAAAAGTTGTGTCATTTCCTTGAATAGGAAGACTCAATGTTATACATATTTCATTTCTTCTTTAGATTAATCTGAAAAGTTAACACAATATATATGAAAACCCAAATGAAATGGTGTATGGAAATTGACAAGATGAACCCAAAATTGATCTAAAGTAGTAATTATTTGATAAAAACTAAGATATACTTGAAATAGAACAATACGGGAGAGTTACTCTATCAGATAGCAAAGCATTTTATCAAACTATGTAATGAACACATTGCATTTTGGCATAGGGTAGACAAATTTATTAATGGAACAAACTAGAGAGTCCAGAGGCAGACCCATGTATAAATATTGGAATTTAATATATGAAACAATGGCTTAGTAATTAAAGTGTTGGGACAATGAACTATTCATTAAAAAAAATACGCTTAGATACCTACCTCACACCATATACAAAAATCATTTCCAGATGGATTAAAGAGCTAAACATAAAAAACAAAACAATAATAATATTAGAAGAAAACTTAGAAAAGTATTCTTTATCCTCAGAAAAGGAAGGCCTTCCTAAATAAGACACATGTTCAAGAAGCCATCAAGAATAAGATTTAGAGATACAACTTACAAAAATTAAATTCTTTTGCATGGCAAAAGACAACATAAGCATAGCTAAAAGACAAATGGCCAAAAAAGTACAATATATGTAACAGACAAAGAATTAAAATCCATATAATACAAAGTGCTCCTTCAAATTAGTTAGGAAAAGCAACCCAGCAGAAAAATGAATACAGGGTAAGAACAGATGATCCACAAAAGGACTAGAAATGGCCACAAACATATGAAAAGATGCCAATTAAAACAACAGAAACACATTTCTGAATGTCAATTGGGAAAGACTGAAAAAAATTGTTGCTATCTTGTGTTTGAGAGGGGTGAGGAAAGAGTTATTCTCAAATGCCACTGGTGAGAAATGTTTCTGCTTTTTCTGAGGGCAGCTTGGTAGAATCTGTCAACATTAAAGGTGCAAGTGACTTTGAACCCAGCAATTTCACCTCTAGGAGTCTTAGAAAGATAATTCACTCAGGTAAGCAAAAATACTGAGTTAAAGGTGTTTATTTCATTCATTCTAAAGGCAAAAATTTGTTCACCATTAAAGTTATAGGCAGCAGTTAAAAAGAATATAGTAGAGCTATGTGTACTGATATGTAAATATATCTAAGATATATTAAGTGACAACACAAGGCATTGAAAAATATATTGTAGTATTCTTATTCATGTAAAAATGTATATGTGGATACAGATGCAAATATATAGTGATACCATGTAACCTTGAAAATGCATAGAAAAATGTTCGGAAAACCAACAAACCAGTGGCTTCCTCTATAGTATGTGAGTAATGACCAAAGAGAAAAATCCCACTTTTTGCTATATATATATATATATATATATACATATATACACACACACACATACACACACACACATAAACACACACACACACATATATATATATATTTCTATGCTGTTTGAAATTTTGTGATAATCATGTATCACACTTGAAAATTTAAAAATAGTAAAAAAAAAAGTGCGAATATAAGGAAACCAGTGGACCTAATTTAAGTTCTATTTATCAAAAAATTAATATTTTTAAAAGAAAAATTATGTTTGTGATAGAATATCATAGACTGGTTTATTGCACTTGGTTTGTTGATGTAAAAAAAATAGAAGTCAGGAATATAGGAACATTTCTCTTGATGAAAATTTTTCAATAACAGAGTCCTAAAAATTGATGCTGGTGTGTATCTCATTTCATAATTTTAAACACAACCCAGAAGAGGTATTCCAGTTTGAAAGCCTCAATTTTACAGACAGAAATTCAAGTGTCCTGGGTGTAAACTGTAATGCACTTAAGTATTTGAGCAAAAAAGTGTCAGAAGGATATTAATTGGTCATGGAGACTCCCCTGAGAAGAATCTTCAAAATTCTAACCAAGCAGCACAACCAATGTGGATGAAGTTTATACTGCATTCTTCCAGGAATGGACTATTAATAAAATATTTCAAGAAGCCTGTGATACAACAAAGAGCATGATGTTGGAAGTCAGAAGCCCTGGGTTCTAAATGTCACTTTTGACAAGCACTTAACACCCTGTGCACTTCAGTTTCCTTATCTTCAAAATAAGAGTGAAGCAACAGCCTGCCTAAAATGAGATTATGTATGTAAAAACCCATTGAGCATCGTTAAGTGCAAAAGTATATACACAAAGTACAGTAACTGTTCATTGTGTGTGTCTTTATATGCTACTGTGCAGCATAACAAACCTAATTTCCTCAAATTTCCTTATTTCCCATAAAAATCCATGCTGATCTTCCTCCAAGGTGACCAATACCATTCTCTGGAGAGACCCTGTCTGGGAAAGGTAGTGGTCAAAGCCTTCCCCGGTAAAAAATTATTGACAAATACGTCCCATGGTAAAACTTAGCCAGACATAAACTAGCCAGAAACAGTAATATGAACAATAAGAATAGTGCTAATTAATTAATAATGAGTGCTGGCCACAGCATGTTACATACATCCCTTATTTAAGCTCTCTCCATTCCTGTGTGATAGAAGCCTCTATCATCCCCAAGTCACAGATGAAGATAGGGTACCTTGCCCAAGCACTGCATAAGAAATATTAGCTACTGACCCAAGCTCTCAATGAGATAATTAAGGATTTTAAGGCTGAACCCTGAAAAAAGAGATGTAAGTAATAAGGCACAGGAAATATTCCAAGGAATGATTCTAGAAATAAAAATAAGTACTTGGAGGGAAACAGATCTTTGGATTGCACTGGGGAAGAGCCCACGGCTACCTTGGTACCTTCCACCGATCATTGCCTTTCCCTGACCTATCACACATGCTCACAAAGAGGATGAGAGTTTGAAAAATTTGGGAGGCTGAAAGTGCTCACGGGGAATGAGCACTAATTAAAGAATGCAATCCTGGTTGCATTATTAAGACCGTTTCTCAGAAAAATGACCACTCCTGGTACACTACGGATCAAGCTGGAGCAGAACGAGAATGTCACTATCTCCATAAAATTCCTTTTATACCCAGAGACCAGATGGGTTCTGAATGATTCCAGATTTTGTGTAGAGAGACAAGAGGTACCTGATCAACTCAGGCTTTAGGATATCCATGTCAAGGTCAACTACAAACCAAGAACTTACAGGAGAGCATCAAGTGCCTATTCCCAAATCTGGCCAAGCCAGAGAAGCTCAGTCTCTGTGAACTCTGAACCTTCCCTGTAAGCAGCTTCCTGATGATTCCCATAGTCCCTTGGCAGGGGGTGACCTTGACCCCTTTCCCACCAATATTTTGTTAAATGCTTTTACTAATTTGCTTCACACGTTAGCAGGGCTGCCAGATTAAACACAGGATGCCCAGTTAAATTTGACTTTCAGTTGAACAACATTTTAAAAAATTATACTTATGTCCCAGATATTGCATAGAACATACTCATACTAAAAATATGTTGGCTTTTTTTTTTGTCTAAAATTCAAATTTAGCAAGGTGTCCTGTATTTTTATTTGCAAAGTCTGGCAACTCTGGATTGCAGACCTGGTGAGGAAGTTGACATTATGCTCCAGAACATCCTCCTTTTATCCGCTGGGCTTTCTGCACGTGTGCAGGCTCTATCTCACTCCTTTTGGCTCTGCCTCATCCTAAAGAAGACTGATGAGTTAGGGATACAATGCACAGAAAAACTTTCTTCTCTCTCCTCCTGTGCTCTTCCCAGCCTTCTCCCCCTGTTTCTCCTTAGCATCCTCCAGTGGGGTGAATGTGGCAGAGAGGGGACATGGCAGCCAGGATTTTCCCCTATAAACACAGCTCTGCTACCTTCTAGCTGTGGATCCCTGGGCAAGTCATTTTTCCTACTTAAGCCTGTTTTCTGGTGTGAAAATGGAAGGGATAACTATATTCACCTCCCAGGGCTGTTTGCCTGATCATAAGCACCTGGCATGCTTGTTAAAAATATAGATTCCTAGGCTTGACAGCAAACCCAATGAATTAGACCAGAGGTCAACAAATTATAGCTTGTCATTTGTTACTGGAAACAGAGTTTTACTGGCATAAAACCATGCTCGTTAGTTTATTAGTTCCTTTTTTTTTTTTTTTTTTTTTTTTTGAGACGAAGTCTCACTCTTGTTGCCCAGGCTGGAGTGCAGTGGCAGGATCTCAGCTCACTGCAACCTCCACCTCCCGGGTTCAAGCAATTCTCCTCCTTCTGCCTCCTGAGTTGCTGGGATTACAGGCACATGGCACCATGACTGGCTCATTAGTTTCCATATTGTCTATGATTGCTTTCATAATGCATGGGCTGAGTTGAATAGTTACAGAAGAGATCACCTTAAAGTTGCAACAGGGGCCACCTGCAAAGCCTAAAATATTTACTATGTGATCTTTTACAGAGTTGGGTGGCCCCTGACTTAGACTCAAAGGGTAGGAGAACCAGAGACATATGGTTTTGTTGTAGTGTTATCAAAATACTAATAATGCCTTAACACCAAATACCATTCAGTGTCAAAAGTTCCCAAATGTTTTCAAGTGATTTTTGAAAGTTGGATCCAGAAAAGATCCACACATCACATTTAGTAATGTCTCCTATGGTCTTAATCTATAGGATTCCCCTACCTTCTGCCCCAACTTTCCATTTATTTATTTATTTATTTATTTATTTATTTATTTATTTATTGTTGATGATCCCGGGTCACTTGTCCCAAAAATTTCTCAAAGTCTGTTTATTTCACTGTATCCCCATGGGTTATTTCACCTGTTCCTCTACCTGCCGCATTTCCTATAATCAGGAACACTTGATGATACCTGACCAGGTATCCAGAGCCCTGATTAGATCTAGGTTCATAAATGGTGCTGTTTGCTTCCTTCTGTAACACAACACCAGGCAAACTTCTTTGTGATGTTAAGACTGATCAGTGGATTCAATCTGATATTATAAAGTTCCCTTTCACCTAGCAATTTTAGCAGTCACTGATGATCACTGCCCAGGTCCATTATTTCTTTAGTGGCTGCAAAAGGGAGACATTGTAATTATAGTATTCCTTCTGCATATATTAGCTGGAAATCTTTTATAAATAAAAAGTTCCTTTCATCAGCTATTTGGCTACACTGGAAACTGTTTATACAGGACCGGTAAGATAAATTCATTCTCTTTATTTGCTAGTTATTAGAATAATGAATTCATCCCATAGCATCCTCCAGAGGTGACCAATGAGAGGTTTGTTTTGGTTTTGGAAAGCATTACCAATGCTTGTTCTTTACACACACACACACACACACACACACACACACACACACTTGAAGTGTTTCATTCTATTGTAGTTAGTAGTTATTATTTCTGATGCCTGGTGTTTCATCTTTGGGAAATGAAATCCTATGCCTGTGTCTTCTCACATAACGCCAATAAATAGTCTTCATAGCATCCTTGCTTTCTGACATAAAATAATACTCTAGGCTCATCTTGTATATTTCCCACTCCAGCCTTTGAATCAGCCATATCTCCAGGGATTCCTGGATCCTTTTGGAGGGCAATGGAATTTAAAGACCACAACATGGATCGTTGGAGTGCTCATCTCTACTGGGGTGGTTATTATTTCTAGGTCTTTGTTATAAAAATAGCTAGGAAAAAAATTTCTTAAGAGAAAAAATATCATGACTTCTTATTGATTTTTCTCATATCAAATTTACAGAGCTTTTACTTCTTTAATTTTATGTTTGTGTTCTTTCTCATGCAGAAAATCTTGATTCCTATTAACACTCATAATATTATCTGCTTTATCCTAATTTGTTTAAATAATATACAGTATATTAGAGAGAGTTTCAAAATAACAGTTCAAATATTATTACTAATAATATGATTACTGAAAACAACCTTCAACCTACAATCTTTGCAGCTCTTTCTGTCCTTAGAATCTACCTACTAGGGGCATGTAGAAAACATAGCTATGTTTTAAAGTCATTTGTAGTAGCTCCTTTCTGTGTGGTGAAGCCACCAGTGTAATACACAATTAGGCTTATTTGTTTCATGTTTGCTTTTAATTTTTAGGACTTGCTTTGTTTTTTATTTTGCATTTGATTTAATGTTGCTTTATAATGATGTAAAAACTGAGACACTGTTTCAAAGTCAAAACCACAAAACAAGGTACATTCAAGCAAAATTTTGTCCCATCTCTGCTCAGTCTCCTCACCCTGTTCTCTTCCTCCTACAGATAACCATTTCTGTTTGGTTTTAGTTTATCTTTCCATTGTTTCTTACATAAGCAAATATGGATTTACATTCACTTCATCCCTATCTTAGATAAAATGTAACATACCATATCTGTTCTGTTCTTGGGTTTTTTCACTGAAGTTCACTCATTCTTTTTATAGCTGTAGAGGATTCCACTGTGCTTAAAGATGCCACAGTTTCTCCCACTAACCTCCTATTAATAGGCACTTTGATTGTTTCCAGTCTTTTGTTATTGTCCATGGGGAAGTGCACTTTTTATATATACCTCATGTTATCCATACACACCCTGAAGAGCAACAGCCACTGTCCCATGGGATGAGGTCTAGAATTTCCGTGCCATGTAATAGGCAGAGATACAGTACAGTGTCCATGCAAGAGGTTTCAAACCAGAATATGCAGAACATGAAGTCTATCCAGCGTGTACTCAGGCAAGGATAGTTTTGAGGGACTTTGCAGATGCACAACTCTCACATGGATTTTTTCTAAAATTAAATGCAGAGCCCCTGTGAGCCATCAATCCCTTGTCCAGTTGCCCCCATCCCCAACACACACACACACACACACACACACACACGCACGCACACACCACTCTCCAAAAGGAAGGACAAACTTCTCACCCATTCTAAATCTCAGGAGTGAAACCCTACAGAGTACAATGGAAGGAACTGTATAAAATACTGGTACAGGTGTTGAAAATGAATCTCTAATGATTGGGGAAATATCTGTTTGCAAGTTGGATAGTTTTCAATTATTTTCAAACGACTGGAGAGGGACAAACTTAAAAGAATTATCAGCTGAGAGAAGATTGAAAGTAATTTTTGATAAGAGTCCAATATGTGATTTTAGGAGTATAACTAGATAATAGTTCAAAGAATTGAGTTACATTTCAATAACAAAATGTCTTTCTTTTCCATCAATTTATCTTTCTTAGTTTAAAACAATATTCATTAATGAATACATGAACTAATTGAAAATATGAGATGCATTTCCATTAATATTTTACATTTTATCTTTTATATTCCTCAAAAATTGATATGTATATTATTTTGTCGACGACTTTTTTGTGCATCACTAATAATTATACCTTAATTTCCAATTTCTGTGTATTACTAGTAATCATAATGATAACTCAAACCAAAAACACTTAACATCTAGAAATGTATGATCATTGGCCATTAAAAGTTAAATTTAAATCTTCATACATATTTTTGTCACAGTAAATTATGATAGAGTGGCCAATAAAAGGATTTCATGCATAAAAATATATAAAGATAAAATTCAGTGGGGTAACTGCAATGAAAATATAAATTCAAGGAACAGGAGCCATGTAAAACTGACTGTTTAAGAACTTGTTCATGTGTTTAATAGATGATGTACCAAATTGCTCTGGTACTTAAAGTTCATCAGATGTGTTAAAGGAATGATGTATTTTTAATGTCAATATTTACAATATTCTGGAAATGACATTGAATGCAACTATTCAAAATTACTTTGAAGATTTTTGATGGCAACTTAAGATGTGCAACGGACATATATATTTTTTCAACATTCTTATAGGAGCATAAACATTTCAAGACCACAGGTACAGAGACTGAGCATTTAATGGTGCAAAGTTCAGAGTCCTGCTCCTCTTGTCTTTCCCCAAGGCTGTATCGTACCCCTCCTCAAGCCATCAGCTCTATATACTGGGAGAATGGGACAGGAGGGGAGCAAGAGCAGCAGTTCCACCTCCAGCCCTGGGATGCCTAGCTGAAACCCCCAAACCCCATCTTTTTCATTCAAGTCCTTAGGGCTCACACTTTGCCCCACTCCTCAGGGCCAGAAATAAGTGGTGCAGAAGGTGTTCGAAGTCTAGTGGCTACAAATTCTCAGGCTCCAGGTTCTACTTGGGGCAGAATGCCCCGCATGGCAGTGTTCCACTCTGGGGAATCTCCTACCTCCCAACTCACCCAACCACAGCTGTCCCTCCTCTTCTAAGCCAGCCTTTCCTGAAAAGAGAATTGTCTTGCTCATTTCCATTGAGTGACTGCAACTTTTCTTCAGTTAGAGGGAACCCACCGCTTTGGGTTAAATAGAAACTCAGCTAAGTTCTACAAGGTTCTCAGGCTTCCGCATCTAATTACAGAAGGAGCCAGCTGGTGGATTCCAAAAATCACAGAGAAGCCTGCTTCTCACTGAGAGGTTCAAAACATCTATACTCACACAACTCCGATGAGGCATACAGGACACGAAGTAACCCATATTCCAGATAAAGAAACCGAGACCCAGCAAAGATGAGCAAGCGTGGATTCACAGGGCATAATATTTCTGGAACCAATGGAGGGATTCAAGCTTCCTCTGTATTCCCTAATCTGCATGGGCTGAGTCATGAAGTACATGAGAAAGCAACTCATCTACTTTGGAGGAGACAACTCTGAAGAGTGGTAAAACCTTGGCAACATATGTTAATGATAAATGGTCTATCAGGAGATTGTCATAAAGGGTGTCATTTATGGTAAGTGCCATTTTTTTATTTATTAAAATTTAATCTTTCTTGATTCCATGTCTATTCACATAGAAAAGTGGTTATGTGCATTAAGAAAACATGAAAAACTAAATCTATGCCTTCGTCATTCCCTGGGAAGTCTGGTTTCCCACATGCCCCAGTGGCCTTGGCCTGTTCCACCTTGCTTGGCTGTCTGAGGACGGCATCAGCTATGGCTAGCAGTCACCTTGAACATGATCCCACTAGCAGTCCCAGCAGCCACCATAACAGTCTTTAAAATCATCGGCACTCTTGGTCCAGAGGGTTTGGGAATTCACTTGCATGGCTGCACATAATGGGTTAGCTACATGTAATATACATACACACATCCATACACTGTGGGGAGGTGGTTTAGATGGACATGTGTGTGTGACAATGCATGTGCATCGTGTGTACAGTCATAGATACAGACCTGGGCCTGTCGGTCCTGCCCTGATCATTCCCTGATGGTATGGGGTTGGTGAAACTTCCCTTGGACATTTCCAGAAATAAATGGCCTAAATGGAGGAGGAAAGACCCAAAGTCTTCCTCTAATGTGTTCTGTCTCCAAGCAGTGAAGAGAATGCTTTGGTTTTAAACTAGTTAATCAGAATGATATAGCCCTCCTTCCTGGAATGAACCTTTCTCACTGCCCCCCTTCTCCAACTGTTGGTATGTCTCAATAGTTCCTTCCCCACATATGCAAGAGGCTGCCAGAATCTTAGAAATAGCAGCCTGGTCTTCAGAAACTCTCCCCTAGTTCCTACCTTTCCTCCTCCTCCCCTGCTCTACTCTCTCCTCACTGTCTAAGACTATTCTGAGTTGTGGATACTGGACACTGTATTTTGAACCAGTTCTTTGGCTCTCTTCTCAGCCACCTGATCATTTATTAGGCATATCTCTTTGGTGGTTCATCCTACTTTCTCTCCAGATATCATCTGGATTCCTGGTATATCTTTGTGGGGGTGGGGAGCAGCCCTACCCTGTAACTGTACCTTGTCCAGCTCCTCAAATCCAAGTTTCTCAGAACCCAGGGCTTGAAAGGAAAGATTCAACACTAAAGCTGTAGCTAATAAACACACAGGGTTGGAAGTTACCCAGCCTACTTGTAGACATAGAAACCTTGGCCAGAAAAGCAATGACTTGTCCAAGTCACTAAGAATAGTAAATGAAACAGAACTGAAGTCCCACAGTGTCTGGTTATTGTTTTTAATGTAAATGTACTACTGTACTATAGCATACATACACAAAGGCAAACAAATCAGAAATATACAGATTGAGTCTCTGAATGAAGTTTACATTTTGGTTCTGAGGATGAAGCTCGGAATTTTTTATCTTGCCCAAATTCCTATCTAAGGGGTCTGGGGAGTATGCCCTAGAAACCACAAATTCTCATCACATGGGTTTTATTTAACCTTGTATATCATGACTTATTTTCCAATCTGACTTTGGCATAACAAGGAAAAAAATCAAAATGTTTTACCCCAAAATATATTTCCTTGCCATACCTTGAAATTGCCCTGCAAAGTCTCTCGTGGGAAAAATCCACATTATATGGAGAATCTCCTTCCCCCTTTGTTTTCCTTCCTCTCTTTCCAGATCTGGGAGATAATCAGCTAAGAGCCAGGCACCCTTTTAGGTCTGATAAGAAACATTTTACAACCTGCTCGCTCTCTGAAGTCTGCTTTCTGAGAGATTCCTCTGCACAATACAACTTGGTCTCCACAATCCTTTATCTTTTTTTTTTCATTTTATTTTATTTTATTTATTTATTTATTTATTTTTATTATACTTTAAGTTTTAGGGTACATGTGCACAATCCTTTATCTTAACCTGAACATTCCTTCCCATTGATCCAGATCTTCAGATAAATTCAACCAATTGTCAACCAGAAAATGTTTAAATATACCTATAGCCTGGAACCCACCCTCACCTCCCCACGTTGACTTGTCCTGCCTTTCTGAACCAAACAAATATATTTCCTAAATGTATTTGATTGATGTCTCATGCCTCCCTAAAAGTATATAAAACCAAGAGGTACCCCGACCACATTGGGCACATGTTCTCAGGACCTCATGAGGGCTGTGTCTGGCCATGGCCATGGTCACTCATATTTGGCTCAGAATAAATCTCTTAAAATATTTTACAGGCCAGGTGCAGTGGCTCACGCCTGTAATCCCAGCACTTTGGGAGGCCGAGGCACGCAAATCATGAGGTCAAGACATAGAGATCATCCCGGCCAATATGGTGAAACCCTGTCTCTACTAAAAATACAAAAATTAGCTGGGCGTGGTGGCGCACACCTGTAGTCCCAACTACTCAGGAGGCTGAGGCAGGAGAATTGCTTGAACCTGAGAGGCAGAGGTTGCAGTGAGCCAAGATCGCACCACTGCACTCCAGCCTGGTGACAGGGTGAGATTCTGTCTCAAAGAAAAAAAAAAAAAAGAAAGAAAGGAAAGAAAAAAATATATACATGTATATATATTACAGAGTTTGACTCCATTCATCGACAGTTCTATAGTTTTCCTTCTTTTTATCCTGGTGTATATAGACTTTGAGTCACCTGGTAGAACTCTGTGTTCTCCCCAGTTTGTGTGGGTGCATGCCTTAGGGATATATTAGTTTGGATATCCTTTTGATTTCTGATCTACAATACATGAGTGTGCACTCACAGATACATGTCCATCTGTGGCCTCGCCCCAGTTATGGAAACCCCACAGATGAAAGCTTTATACAAGAGGTTATGACTTTTCTACAGTGACATCAGACTTCTGACTTATTAAGTCAGAATTGCTTGCCTTCTTTTTGCCTCTCCTCTTCCCAGTAAAGCAGGACAGACTATTATCTAGCTTCTTAGAGACAAACTGAATATCTCAGCCCCGGGTCTAGTAGGTGCTTGAGATTCTTTGGAGGGAAAATGCAGCGAAAACTCACAAAGACATCATTATAGTATTGCTCCCTCAGAGCAGGGCTTTCTGACAGTTTACGCAAACAGCATCCATTTAGCAGAATCTCAGTGGAACGGCTGTCTCAGTCTGAGCCTCTAGCCCCAGGATTAGGAAAAACCCTTGGAGTCTTCCAAAAATACAAGGAGTTGAGAGCCAAGCCGTTTAGCAGTGTGAGCCTAGAGGATAAATAGGCCCATTGTGATTCTCCCCAGTTCTCTTACCTAGAGCTGCATCTGCCAGGAGCAAAGTTCTGAGGGAAGCCCCAGGAACACATGCCTTTTATAACTTATTTTGTTTTCCTCTTTCTTAATCCTGCCTAAATTCTAGCACTCTTTCTGACACCTCATTGTCCTTTACTGCCCCCAAGCAATGTATTTTTTAATAGAGCAGACATTTCAACTCCAAAGATGTGAGTTGAAAAATAATTTGGCCCTTATTTCCTTTTGCAAATGGCTCCACTGAGGCCTCCTGGCTGCACTAATATCTTCTAGTGGAAACAAATTTTAAGATGATGTTAAAAGAGCTCAAGTCACTCAACAAAGCTGGAGGTCTCAACCAAGCTCAGATCCATGGATCACACTAGATTCAAAGGGATCCACTCAGCCCCCAAATGCAGGTTATAATACCATATTCGTAAGTAAACAATGGTAGAATACATCCTTTTAATGATCCTAGATTTTGAAAAATCTGACCCTGCATAGCTCAGGTACTGAGAGTTAGGTTCTAGTTTAGATTCAGACTTATTTAGCCAAAATAAGATAATTTCTTTCAAATAAGATTGACTTTACTAAATAGTTAGAGGCCAAAAAATATAAAAATTATAACATATCAGAATTATATACATATCCTGTGTATACAGGATAAGGAAATAGAGGATCCAAAAGAACGAAGGAAATAATGTATAACTCAGCCAATGCTCTTTGCTAGCTAAGCAACCATAGAGAATTTATTTAACCTCTGGAAGACTTGACTTCCTTGTGCATAAAAATGGGAATAATAACACACTCAGAACATGTGCAGAAATTAAATGAGATAGTAAGTGAAACAGAGGCATGGCAAGGCTTCAAGACACCTGCACATACATAATACTTTGAATCTAAATCTTCCTTGAAAGATGCTAATTTCTCAATGATTATGATCATGTGTGTTACACAGCACTTCCTATTTTTTCTAAGGACTTAGACATTCTGCCCAATTACCCTTACAATGAGACAATAATCCCAAATGTATGGATGAGAAACCACTTCAGGGATGATATGCCAGCCAGTCAGCATGGTAAAGCCAGAGATAGAAGTTAATCTATTGCCGCACTCCAAGTCTTTCTTTTTGTGGGTTTTGTAGGTTCAAGGCAGTTCCACCTAAGTTCTGGAAGCAGTTTAAAGGAGCTGCCAGATCTGTGTGACTGCCAGTCTGGATCCTTGGATTCAGGCTGTTTACAAAAGCGGGGCTTAGACACTCAGGAGGAGCAGCTAAAGTGAATTTTGAAGACAAGGGTGGGCTGGTTAGAATGTGCAGTTTTCTACGGTGGACTAGGCTCAGAGACTGCATATTCTGTGTGTGAAGCTTCTTTTTACTTTTTTCCACAAAAGGCAAACTTAGCTAGGAATGGGCTCACTGAGTCATCCTTTAAGCGACATTAATAATATCTCTTATTGATTGAATATCCCACCAGCTTTAAGATGATGGCATTGGATCCTTGAATCAGGGATTCTAGGCTGGGTGCTGTGGCTCACGCCTGTAATCCCAGCACTTCAGGAGGCCAAGGCAGGTGAATCACCTGAGGTCTGGAGTTCAAGACCAGCCTGGCCAACACAGTGAAACTCTGTCTCTACTAAAAAAAAAAAAAAAAAAAAAATACAAAAATTAGCCAGGTGTGGTGGCACGCACCTGTAGTCCCAGCTACTTGGGAGGCTGACACACATAGACATTTTCAATCCAGTCCCTCATCTTATTTAAATCCTGGACCCAGAGCACGCTTCTTGCAAATATTTATAAGCGAACAATACTACTAACACCATAACAACTCTAATTGCAACTGTTACTTACTAACATATCTTGGGGCTTACCAAGTGCCAGCCCAGTCATTGGGATGAATAAGAGTTGTAATGGTGTCAGTAGTGTTGTATAAATATCTTATAAATATTTGCAAGAGGTATTCTCTGGGTCCAGGATTTAAATAAGGTAAGGGATTGGATTTGGAACTTCTATGAGTGCAGGTAGATGGGCATAATTAGTGGTAAGGGATGGTAAAGATTTAGGCTGGATTAGGGAGTAATTTTCAAGTGTCTTGGACTGTAGCTCTTTCAACGTAAGGCTGTCTTGAGGAAAGATAAGTCTTTGCTGGTTTGTGCTGCTATAATAAGCAAAAGGAGACCCACCCCTCCTTTCTCCTTCCCCCACCCCCTCAATTTCTGTGCCCTTAATCCCCTGCCCCTTTCATGAAGCATTCGAACTCCATCAGTCAGGACACACATTGCAGGTTGGACAGATCAGCCAGAAAGGCACAACTGTAGCTAGAGGTAATATCTACTACTTCCAAACCACTCCAAATTAACCATTCTAGCTGGAGGGAGACCCGAGCCTTTGGGCCCCCCTTTTGTTTTATTAACTGCCAACAGAAAATGCCAGAAGGAGCTGGAGAGGGAGCCCAAAAAGGGGGACCAGGAACACTTTGCATATTTTAATTTCTTCAGTAAACAATACATAGCACAGCAGAAACCTACTACTGATGGCCACATCCCCAGGCAAAGGGTAGTCGGATGCACATCATGGGAGAGGACATAAAGAATATACAAGTCCTTCGCAGGCTACAGGCTGCCTTATCTAGCTTCTCTGAGCTGGAGCTGAATTTCCCATCTGTTCACTGACTGGCTGCTGGAGGAGCTTTGATAAGGGCAAGGAGAAGGTGGAAACAATTAGCCTTCTCACACACCTAAAGCTTTCTTGGGAGTTGAATGTACTCTTCATCCAATGGAAAATGGGATTTGTCTTTGAGTCATGAAAAAAGACCCTTTAATTCTAAAGGAAGGATGCTTGCTGCTGAGAGGAGAGAGCTCATAGATCACTTGCAGGACCACAGACATGAAACAGTTGATAAAGTCCTTTATCTTCATTTAAAAGTGGGGATTCAACTTGGAAAAAATAACAGCGTTAAATTCTCAAGGAAGTCTGAGGTTGGGTGGTAACAGCAGTCAAAGCACTCTGGGAACTGCAAGGTGATTCATCAAAAAAAGAAGTACCACCACTCTTTTTAAGCACCATAGGTTTCTAGTTGGGCCTTTCCCTGGGAAATGCCAGGAAAGGGGCATCTATTAACCCAGCCACACAGCCCTGGCAAGGCCTAGAGGCATCTTTAGCATCCTGGAATGGGGACAGGCAGAGGGAAGGTCTGGCACCAAGATAAACCAGGAACCTTAGTGAAAAGAGCACTGGATTCAGACTCAGGTCATCTGGGTTCTTGTCCCAGTTCTACTAGTGTGCCATCCTGTGGTCTTGGCAGCCCATGTTTTCTTTTGGTCTCAATGTTCATACTTGGAATAATGACATAGTTGGACCAGAGTTTTGCTAAGATTCCTCTCTGCTCAAAAATTGCATGAGCATAATTTTCTCATCTGAATCAGGACATCAAGAACACTGAACGAAAGCTCAACTCAAGGCCCTTCCTAACACCTGCAGCATCAGCAGCCTGACTTTACAGAGGGTGTGTGTGTGTGTGTGTGTGTGTGTGTGTGTGTGTGTGTGCTGTAGGCAGTGAAGGAGAGCATGGGCCAGAATTCAGGAGCTCCACGGCCCTGCCTTAGTTTGCATCATACCTCCTGGCTCACCCCTGGCCTTCTGTGTTCTCATCTGCATAATTGGTAGGGTGAGGGAAAGACTTCGACTAGTTGACCTTTAGGGATCATCCAGTTCCAAAAGGGGATGATTTGGTCAAGTAGAGACTGGATAATCTTTGGATGCCCCTCCTGGCCCTGTGAGAAGGTTAGAGCTCTGAGGTCCACTTCGTTCCACACAGCCTGCTACTCTACAACTGGGTCCTGGGGTGCCTCTTGGCAGTGAAGGGTGTAGGCCAAGGGCAGGTTCAGATGAAAGAGATGGAGGAGCTGTACCTCCATGCAGCATCTGGGATTCCAGGCCATAATCTGAGGCCTGCAGCTGTGGGCTGCTCCATCTCTCTTTATAAACAAGCCCTGCCTCTTGGCTTCTCCTTCAAGGTCAAAAGGCAGGAGAGGACTGCTCTGAGGATGAACCTACAAGAAAGTCTTAAATGTGAAGCCAGAAATCACAGTTGGAGAGTTGTTATTCAAAGGCATTCCTCCTCTGTTAACACACATTCCTGTTTCCAAAAAATATAGAAGGGGAATTTGAGCAGGTGGACTTCTTGTTTGTAGGCTAACGAAACTGGGATGAAGTATCTTTCTCAGGGTCACCTAGTGGGTCCCCAAAAGGTCAAGCCAGGCTGAGTGCTGGGGTAGGTAATCCCCAAGGGTAGAGCCCTCATCTTAATTTATCTGAAGCTCTGGCCTCCACCATAACAGAGGTAGAAAGAGATGCTTTCAGCATTCCAAGTTTGGGAGTTGAGTTGGGCTAAGTTCTTGTCCCAGTGAACATGGATATAGAACAACTTATTGCATGTTTATACTGTGCTAGGATATATGCTAAATGAATTAAAATGCACTGCTTCGCTCAATCCTCCTAAAACGCATTGGCTATGAAAACTACTATTATCGACAGCATTGTATTGAGAAAGGAAGAAAGGAAGGAGGAAAGTTGGGGAGGGGGGGAGAGGGGGAGAAAGGGAGAGAGGAAGGGAAAAAGGAGAGGAAGAGGTTAAGCATCTTATTCAAAAATGCTTGAGATAGAAAAATCCAAGTCTTGTACCCAAATTATTCTGATTCCAAAACCAAAGTTCTTATTCACCACCAAGTTAAAGTTCTTATACATTCTAAATTAAAAAAAGACTCATTAGTAAAAATGTTTTAAGGCATGTAAATTGATAGGTTAGGGTGGCACATTTTGGACAATGTGATAGAAATCCTATAAATGTGATTTATATAAAACACTCAGAAAAGCTGAAGGGGAATTTTCATTCAGAAATATCTAAATCAGCAGATTCAATGAAGTAAGATGGGAACCTACACCAGCCCAGAGAGCACTCATAAAGATGACATCAGAAAATATCTATGTTCCTCCATAGACAGATTGGAAAAAAGAAGCCAGTCATGGACTTTGCTTCCTGTGTCTTTCTCTTGGAGCTTTTCTCTGCATAATGTCCCGTCCCACTCTTGTAGAAATGGCACTGATAATTTCTCACCTCATCAGCTAGGCTCCTGATGGCAAGGCCTCCCTGACGAGGACAAGCCTTCACTACTGAACATCTAGGTCCCAGATAATGTGTTCAACTGTGGCAGCATTTGTCATCATAATTTTCAAAATACATTAGCCTTGATTGTTTGGAAATCTATTTCCCGTTAACATCTCTTTCTCTAAGATCATGGTCTTGGGCAGACAAAGAGAGAGGCAGAGAATGATGATGAAATTATGGAAAGAAGTCAGAGTAGAGATGAGAAGGAAGAAGGGAGAGAGGAAGCAACAGGCTCTACATGGTGACATTATTTAGGTCTTAGAATGAAGCCAACACTAGAAATAATTCCTAAACCTGGAAAACAAAAATTTTATTATAAAGACAGTACATTGCCTTTTTGCTTAAGGTAGAGAGTTTTCTGTCACAGCTGAAAAAATCCTGAGAAAACACTAGAAAATTCGACTCTCAAGTTAGTTTCTATTTCTAGAAATACAATGTCTATTTCTAGAAATGAACCAAAGAAAAAAGATTCAGAGAGATCCCAGAGGCCCATGTAAAAACCGACATGCCCAGCTAGGATGAAACTACGATAAGCCTCCTCTCACCCCGACTCCCCCTTGCTCCTTCCCCACCCTACATGTCTGCACCCAAATGCCAGAGCTTCACTGGCCATAAAGCCTCACAGGACACAGTTCACATTGTGGGCTCTGAGACCGGTGTCTGAACTAAAAGCTTTCCTTGGAGGGCTGCATTTGCCCCGGTGCCAGGATTCTTCAGCCGGATGCATCTGCCTGGAGATCTACTTTCCATTAGGGCTAGCCACAAGTGGCAGGAAGAGAGGAGGCAGCACTAATCAGAGGAACCAGCTAAGGCTCAAGAGAGGTGGGCACCAGTCTAGAAATAGCAGAACCCACATCATCGCCAGACAGGAGGCGGTGTCACAATTCTTGTAGTCATATGAATTTCTCATGAGTCATTTGTCCCAAAAGAATTGCGGAAGCAAAGGGACTTGACCAGCTTTGAAGATAAGATGCAGACCAAGAAGTCCCATCACGAGACTAGGGCAACATTCTCAGTGAGTGGTCCTGGATGGCACAACCAGAAAGATTCCCTCCCCTCCTCCATCATCTTCCCTGTAGCTCCTACAACCCCTTCCCTTGAAGACCTGAGCCCCACTGCATTCCAGGCCCCTTTTATCATCCTGTTCTAGGGGCTTGCTCTGCTCTGAGACACTATATTTCTTCAGATCATCAGAAAGCAAAATGCTAAGGCAACTGAGAGTTCAAAGATTAATTACTATTTAATGGGCAGATTTCTTATCTCTGGATAAATCTCCAGTTAAGAACTCAGAGGACTGGGACTAAGAACAGACAACCAAACTCCCTAAACTAATGAGGACATGCGATACCCTGTACATTCACAGGCATCTTACACAGGGGACTGTATTGGTTTTCCCCAGAAGGCCAGTCTTAATGATCTTGGATCACAAGACTTGGGATAGCAATGAAAAGGGGGGAAACCACATTCCACAATTTCAAAACCATTAAACTACATTGGTGTTTGACTTTGGGAAAGTCCTAGTGGGTTTTAGAATAATCTCTAGCTTATAGACATCTTCACTGCAACCAGACCCTCTCCACAACCTCAGTGATGGCTGGAAAACACTCGCATGCCAAGAGGGGTGAACAAAGCTTGTCTTATGCTCTCCTTGTGTACCCTGGACATGGAAATAAACAGGTGTGTGTCCTTAGGTTCCTTAGAAATACTAAGTTTGTTTGGGTGGGGAGATATCCCAGCATGCTACTTTAAAGGACCTGTCTATGACCAAGACATGCCCTGCTAGAATGAAACTACAATAAGCATTTTTTTTTTTTTTTGAGACGGAGTCTTGCCCTGTTGCCAGGCTGGAGTGCAGTGGCGCAATCTCAGCTCGCTGCAACCTCAGTTTCCGGGGTTCAAGTGCTTCTCCTGCCTCAGCCTCCCAAGTAGCTGGGATTACAGGCACATGCCACCACGCCCGGCTAATTTTTTTTTTATTTTATTTTAGTAGAGACGGGGTTTCACCATGTTGGACAAGATGGTCTTGATCTCCTGACCTCATGATCCATCCGCCTCGGCCTCCCAAAGTGCTGGGATTACAGGCGTGAGCCACCACGCCCAGCCACAATAAGCCTTTTAATATGGGCCTTTGGGATCTCTCTGAATCTTTTTTCTTAGGTTCATCTCACCCCTGAAATCCCGGCGTACTGCTGTAAAGGATGCATCTATGACCAAGTCTCTAAGCAGATTCCCAGACCGAGGCACACTCATGACCAGGTGCCCTTGCAGACTTGTGTCTAAGGCATGGGTATTATTCTTTTAAGCTTCAGCTAAGCCCTTCTGGAATTAAGACATATCTTGTATGTGTGAGTGGCAGGGCGGCCCATATGTAACCAGAAAAAGAATGACTATCCTTGTCAGTTTGAAATATAACCAGACACTTCTCATCTTTACCCTGATTCCCAGCTGGGACTCCACAGAGCACACATATGCAGAAGAGAGAAGCCAACTGTGTTGAGATGCGTTAATATTTTAGAAGAAAAGCTAATTTGCTTGCTTATTTGTTTCTACCAGAGGGAGAACTCAGATAAGTGAAAGTGGAGTATCCTATGGAGGAAGATGAATGATGCTTTCCTCCTCAGCCCTCAAGTATCAAAATGACGGGGGAAACTAGACAAGGGTCCCTAAAAGCAGTAAAGAACCAAAACTTGATGAGGTAACCCTACCCAATAGTTAGAAGACCACAGCGAGGGACATCCCAGTGCTTGGAGTATATTTCTGTGATGGTAACAATGTAATGAAAAAGAAAATCCTTGCCAAATGACAAGAGTATGGCTTCTCTCTACCCCTATGACACATGTTGTGAAACTAAGAAACATTGTCTTGACATGCATAGAGACCCTGGGATAAATATGCTCTAAAACTCCAAGGAAAGTATAGCATCACAGGTAGAAAATCTTCTACTTTATCACAAAAAGAAAACTGGAGAGGGTTATTGGCATCCCAAAGTAATTCTTTACTTTGTTGTAGCAGGTCTCTCTTCCGCATCTAAATGGTGATTTGCTTGAAACATAACCTTATCAGGAGGTTACCATATTATGCGTAAAACAACAGGTTACCTATTTGTTTTCTGGGAAATATATGAAAGTATACCACAAATAAATGCAACATTACACAGTGATATTTAGGTTAAATATAACCATCATATCTGAGATGTGGTCCAGAGACATCCTGTTTCTTGCTAATAGCATCCTAAGACTGGATGAGGTCAGTCTGTGGATTCCATTCACAAAAGACAGACAGGAAATTTAGGATTATCTTCAAACTCAACTCTTCGCTCAAACCCCTGTCGAAAAACCTTTGTTCAGTCTCAGCACTCTGCATGCATTCTCCCCACCTCTATTATCTATACATAGACACCATGCATGGTCCCTCCTTCCAACGTGCGTGAGCCCCAGGAACACTGACTCACTGAAGTTAAGCCTCCACCTCAGCCGAGGATGGAAGCCACACAGGAAGATTTACTCTCATGCCCCCAAAATTTCCCATGCCCATCCCCATTTCCAGTGACAACACTCAAAAAACAAAGCAGCAGAAGTTGCTGTGCCTTCATGCGCAATCAGCAAAGACATGGACAACCACCCCAACACATCTACTGCTCCTGATCCAGCCATGCAAATCAGCCCACACATGGGACATTCGGGTCACCCAGTGAGTCCTTTTCTTACTTCCACTTCCTGCCAACTGGTATCTGTGGAAAGATGCTGAGGCTAACTGATAAAGGCAGAATTTCAGACATAATTCAACCTGGATTTAAATCCTGGCTCCACTATTTTCTATTTCTGAGCTTAAACATCAGTGTTCTCATCCTCAAAGTGGAACTATAATAATGTCTTCATGAGAACAGAATAAATTAAACAAATTAATTTACTCAAAGCCCCTATCAAGGTGCCTGGCTAGAGCAGGTGTTCAGCAGCTGTAAGCTGCCCTTCCGTTACCCCACAGAAAGGCAGATGGGAGAAGGAAGGGCCTTAAGATGCTCTGAATGGCCAGCACAAGTCAGAGATTAAGGGACTTTCTACAAAGATGCTCCCCAAATAGATGAATCCACAGCCATGTTCACTTTCTGATGCCGTCTCAGTGGTGTCAGAGGGAGATGAAACCCGTGCTGACCATCAAGCAGACAAGGTATCCTTCCAGTGCCACAGCCACCTGGTTTTCTCTCTTTGCTTTCTGTCATTATGAAGTTTGTGAGTATTTCTTTATTTGGACTCAGAATTTTCAGATACGATTTCATCCATACAGTAAGTTTTAGCTGAGTCATGAAAGCCCTCCTTGGAGAAACTAAATAAACTAAAATATTTCGTATTCTTTAAGCAATGCGATTGCTTTGACGTCCCTACCTAAACTACACACACACACAACACTAACTACCACCACCAACACCACCACTATTACTACCACCAAGTACTTCTTTTTCTCCTCTCTGCTTTCCTTCTCTCTTAAGAACCTATCACTCTTAATTTGCTATATACTTTACTTTATCTTTATTTTTTTATCTCCCTCAGTAAGGGCAGCGATTTTTGTCTGTTTTACTCACAGTTGTATCACTGGCACCAACAATAACTCAGGATACATGGATAAAATGACTGTATGCCCCAATTTACCAAGAAAGGTCTAAATTTATGCCTGTAGCTCCTATTTAATTATTAATAACTTCCCTTTTCATTCTCAGAAGGGTCCAACTTTAGACAATCAAACATACACAGTTGATTAATATTAAATGTTTGTTGAAATTAATTAATAAATTTGACCAATTTGATATTTTAATGCAACCTGTCAGTTCCTAAAACCAAGAGTTTGAACCCGATGCGACTGAAATACATACAATATTTTAAAAGCATGAGAAGAGATTGATTAATCTTCTATAATGGTTCTGCTTGCAAAATTCTCATAAGGCTGCCAAGCATGTTTGTTCTGAAATACCCTAGCTATACACACTTGTTAGTACTGAAAATCTTAAACTTTCATGCTGTTATTAGGAGCAGTGTCAAGAAGAGAAACCTATAAAACTGATCCTGAGAGAACCTGGGAGGTTATGCTTAATTTACCTCCCTAACCAAATTATGAGAGAAATGAATGAAACTGTAAAAGCCTTCCTTCCCATGCACCTGCCCATAAGACTGCAGTATCAGGATAATACTGTATATTAGAAACCAGAAGCTTCTCACTTCAAAACTGACTTAACTACCGCACGCCCTGTCAGTGTTAGGAAGCAGCCTCTGGCCTGTGGAAAGCCTCTCAAGATGGCAAGCAGAACTTGTGTCTTCTTAGTCTGGGATGGATCTTTAAGGCTGAGTAGGTGAATTCTGTGGTTCTGTTTTCCCAAGTGAACTGTTTCCCAAATAGAAGAAAAAAGCCCCCAAGCAAAAAGTGGAAGGAAGTCATCCAATACAGTCTGATGATCAAGGTAAGACAGATGGAACTTCGACTGACTCTGCAGTATGTCCATCTCCCTGCCAGAAATTACCATAGAAATTAAAATGGGGAGGGCAAAAGCCTCCCTGCAAGCACTGGGGGATCTGACTCAGTCACAGAGGATCTGTAGTGACCATCCTGAGCATCAGGTCTGTTAGACCACGCTTCATCTGAGGTCAATGGGGAGACCTCCAGTTCTTAGACCCTCTACTCTGTGCAATTAGGGCATTCTTATTTCCTTACAGGGAGTCTCCTATGGAGTGTAAGCACCCAAAGTGTACTCAAAACTCAAGGTCACACCTCCTGAAATGCAAGAAAGCAGCCAAACCACTCGTCCATGCAGAGCCTTCAGCCTCCACCACACGCACAGGTCTGGACAGAAGCCCTGGCAGCCATGTGAACTCCAGCGGCTCTCCCGGCTGTGCACCTAATTTTAGCAGATTATGGCCCGCCACCCCCCACCATGCTGTCTCCCCATGAGACATCCCAAGCACATCAATGGCTTTGGCAGGAAACTTCCATGGAAGTTAAATGATGCTCCACGGTGGGAGGCAAGGAAAAAGAGGTTGGAAGCAGGCCCCAGCCCATGGAAGTGCCTCTCCAAAGCCTGCAAGCTGTCTGTCTGTGTGTGGACTGCCCTGCCCAGCCCCCTGGCCCCAGAAATCAAATCCAGACTCACTGTGGAAGCTGCCGTTGCTGCTAGCCTCTGCCGCTGCCACACCACACTGAACGGGCCCTTCTGGCATGGCCCTTCCTGACAGTGAATGAGGGGAGAGAGTGGGAAGGGGGAGAGAGAAGAAAAGGGATGAAGGGAGAGGAAGGAAGCATGGAAGGATGAAAGGAGGAGCATGAGGAAAGCAGGGGGATCTTTAACTGAATGGCGTGTCTCTCCTGGGCAGGGCCTCAAACATTTGTCCTGCATCATTAGGGAGGACAGCGGAAGACCGCAGCAACCCACCTTCAAGGCCCTTACTCTGGAGTCCGCCCAGAAACACAAGGCACTCGGGGCTCCACCAGCACATCATGACACCACTCCCAGCACATGACACCCAGCTGTCTTCCTCTGTGGGACATGAAGACGCAATGGGCTTCCCTCCACGAGCTTGGTTCTACTCCCAGCAGGAGCCTCCCAGCCAACCTACTGCTTGGAGAGGAAGTGGGTTCTATCTAGAATTTTCAGCCCCTTAGGTCAAAGAAACAGCGCTTTCTCCAAAGCTTCTGAGAGAATTATTGCTCTTAGTGTGTCCCGCAGAAAATCCCTGAATTCACCACTGCTTTTAGGGCTACCCAGATTCCCTCTCCTTTCCTTCCTGATTTAGAAAGGTTAACTCACTGAATGTCACCACCATGGAGCCTCAGCCCTCCTCCTCCTTGCTGTCCATGGAGTTAACATTTGTGTTCCCCCTCACCACTCAGGAAAAAAGCTCCTAAGCAAGGCCTTTCCCTTGAAAGGGCTCCTGAGAAGTGAGAGGAGGGGGGTGCATGAGGAGGGACTCACAGTAACTTAGCAATGGCATTTCTCAAGTGCTTCCAAGTCAAGGGCTGTGTGCAAGAGACAAGAGACACAGTCTCTGCTCTCAATTGAGTCAGAGGCAGAGAAGCAGCACTGGAATGACCTGGAGGAGAGGCAGATTCATGAAGTAACATGTCCCTGTGCACAAACTCATAGGGTGAGGCTGAAAAGACCATCCAGTGAAGACAATGAAATGGGGATTGCTGAGTGCTGATGGCAGGGAGGGACGAACAGAAAGAAAGAAGACGGAGATGAAAGAAAGGACAGATGGGCAGTTGGGAAGAGAAGGTGTGATGGACTGAACTGTGTGCCCCCCAACACATGCTCATTATGGGGAAGTCCTAACCCCAAGTTCTTCAGAATATGACTGTATTTGGAGAGAGAGCCTTAAATGAGGTAACTAAGGTTCAATGGGGTCTGTAGGGTGGGCCCTAATCCAATAGGACTGGGGTCCTTATAAGAAGAGATTAGGACACAAACCACACAGACGGATGACCATGTGGGGACACAGTGAGCAGGCAGCCATGTGCAAGACAAAGAGCGAGGCCTCTGAATGAATGAACCCTGTTGGCACCTTGGTCTTGAACTTCCAGCCTCCAGAGCAGTGAGAAAATCAGATTCTGTTGTTGAAGCCCCCAGTCTGTGGAGCACTGCTATGGCAGCCCGAACAAATGAACACAGAGGGCCTCATGCAAAGGTGGAAATAAGCAACTGGCGCTGGGCCACCGGGGACAGACTGGCTGGGATGGAGCCAAGGGGGCTTCTTGTGGAAGGTCAGGAAGGAGACTGGCAGGGGCTTCAGGACCCAGTAGGCCAGGGCAAGAAATTTATATTTTGGTGAAATGAAGATTTACTCACACAAGGCTCCAAAAACACAGGAGGGATGAGGAAGTTCGAGGAGCCCTGGGGGAAGAGCTCCAAGCCTGAAGGTGTGTGCGTGGATTCAGGTTTTGGACTGACCAGGCATGGACCCGGGCAGCTCCTGCCAACGTGCAAAGAAAAAGTGGCACTGAGGTGCTATAAGGAAAGACATAGCAGGCTGGTGATAAAGAGACAGGTTCAGAAATGGCTCCCCTTTGGGAAGCTCCCAAGAGAGTTTTCACGGATGCTAACGGTTGCTGAGGTGCTAGCACTCAGAGAAGCAGGAGGAGGCCATGGTGAGTTTTATTTAAAACATGCCGTGTTTCAGTCTCCAGTGAACTCTCCAGGGGAGGCTTACAGATTAAGCAATCAAAGAGAGAAGAAGTGGAGGCTGCAAATGTAAATTTCAAACAGATTCTGTGTAAAAGTAAAAAGGGGTTATAACCATGTGAGTGCATGAGGTTTGCAAAGCAGATGTCTAAAATAGCAGCACCCAAACTTAAAATGAGAGGAAGGAGAGAAACCAATGGAGCAGGGAAAGAATGACCAGGAATGGTTATAACTTGTGGAACAAAGCATAACTGAGGCATTCAACAAGAATACTATGCATCACTGGCAGTTGCAGGGGGTGCAGGGGAAAGGGTAAATTATTAATAATGTCATTCAACAATAGTTCAGGAAGGGTTAGACTTGAAGTAAGAAATTTAAATTTGGTCGTGAGAGATAATTAGTGACCCCAAAACTGCAGATTCAATTCAGTGGTAAGATCAGAAGCCCAAAAAATTAAGACAGAAGATGAAAAGTACTTATTTCAATATTCAGGCAAAGTTAGAAGGGATAGAAAGGTCAAATGAAGATTTTTCTTTAATGTAGGATAGATTGTGGATTTTTAGAGTTGAAAGGAGGGAGAAATGCCTCAAGAAAGCCTTCAGAGCAAGATAAACACAGTCACAGGGAGAGACAAGAGACAGGGCAAGTGACAGGTATTGAGGTATGAGCGAAGTGGGAAAGGATTCAGGCTGTGAATGTGTAGATATGCAGAGGGTGAATTTGGCTTAATATTTGATAGCATCATGAAAATATATACTTGACACAGTTCCTTGCACGTACATAATTATGAGTCCTTAAATTGCTCTACCACTTTGCACTTATCTAAGCAATCTCTGTTGTAGAGTTGGCTTTTAGGATCTCAGAATTAGAGAAAAGCAAAACTTTGAGATCATCTTCTGAAACCTCATGTCCAGCACAGGCATCTGTATAATGTGGTTCTAAGGATTTTCTAGAAACCCAATGGGGATGGAGAACCCACTATCTTGTAGGACGGTCTGTTCCATTTTCACACAATAAGGGTAACTTCCTGCAGCACTGTGCTTCACCACCCTCAGGTGTCAACTATCTCTAGCGTTTTCCAATCTTGCCACCCCTGTGGGTGAGGAACACATTGCAGAGCCCACTCATTGCACCAAAATAATGGAGGACAACCCTTGCATACATCTCTGTACTGAAACCTGGCTTTGTGATCTCTGATTGTTCCAAATTAGGGTCCTTAAGCATCATCCCAGATCAGTCATTCGCTGAGAAGAACACCTGTCTCCTGGTTTATGTCATTTAATGAACATTTATGAAATGTCTACCATATATCATGTATAGTCCTAGGTACAAGGGTTATATAATCAGTGAAATAAGGCATGAATACTGCCCTTAAAGAACTTCTAAGCTACTGTGAATGATTATGTGTCAATCAAAGTTCTTGAGAATACATTTTCACAATAAACATTAAAACAATTACTTCTTGCAACACATTTCAAGGCAATAGGACAATACTCCTCAACTCTGAGCACCACCTCCCTTGCTTCTAATATTCCTTCCTCGCCCTTCAGTTTCACTGAATCTGTGTTACATTTTACAGACTACAATCACCTCAAATCACGTTGCTGCTGGTTGCTTTAAGATTACATTGGAGAGCCGAAAATCTCTAAATTAAATCATCTTTGCTTGCTGCGTTGACTAGGCTTGGGTCATCCTGTTTTCCTCCTTTGCCTTGAATGGCCTTGCCACAAAGCCTTATTAGAAAAATAGATCATGGAACTCAATTATTACAAGCTCACACTTCTACTTAACCTCATGGAGACTGTGCTGTATTGGTGTGCTCTTTAAACATTCTATTCACAAGTAAACTCTCATCCCTTGAAAAACCTAACTTAACCAGAACACCAAACCCAATTCCACCCCTCATTTATTGTACAGTCTGGGGATTGATCACTAATCTCTCTGAGCTTTAATTTACTTGTCTGTAAATAGGGAGAATCATGCCAGCCCATTGACCTCATAGCACTTTGATGGTGGTTAGAGAGGAGCACTGAATTCACAGGAAGGGAGAAGAATGTCCTTGTCTTCACTCTACCACTAACTAGGTGTGTGATCTTGAGGGACATCTGCTCTCTCTCTCTCTCTCTGGCTGGCATTCAATGTATTCACCTGTCAAATAAGTGGGTTTGAAAGATGACCTCCAACTTCATTTCTAGTCAGGATTTCACAAGATTGCCAGTGTAGATGCTTACCCAAATTTCATCCAGACGTTTATCAAGGTCTCTCATAGAATACTTACAAAACAGTTGGGTGGAGTAATAAAAATGCATAGACCATATCCAGAGAATGTTGATAATTGAATCAATGTCTGCTTGGGAGCAGAACTCTAGCGGCAAACCCTGATCTTGGGCTGTTCAACTTTTCAAAAAGTAAAAAAAAATATATATATATATATATATATATATATATATATATATATATGCTTCAAGATCCTGCTGCTACATTGATAAAAGTTGGCTCAGAGATGATGGCATAGAGCTGGCAGGGAAAGCTGTATCTAGACTACTAAACACCTTGGCAGTGTGTAAAGGGGAATCAAATCTACCCAGAAACAAGGCACTTTTGCTATATACAAGTTGTAAGAAAAGAAGAAAAAATCCAACTATTTAGTTGAAATGTGAGGGAAAGGCCAGTAGAAGAGAATTCAGAATTTGGGGATGCTAGTCTCATTTATGTGATGGGGAAATTAGCCCCAGTAAAGCAGATCCGCCTGGCAAACCCCTTTCTCTGAATATGATCCTTCAACACAGGTGCACTCAATAAACTCAATATCTATGTCACATTAGAATCCCTCCACTTGTGTGAATCCAAGGTTAGAGCATGCCTAACAGGGTCCAGCAGAATCCCTGAATTGAGAGCACTGCTCAGGATGACATGTGTCAGAACAGGACACAAGTGCCACCAATCCTCTTTTCTACTTTCATGGCAGATGTCACCAGCTGATCACCACTTTTTCACTGATCCTAGATGCAACCACCAAATTCTTCTCATCACTCCACTCTGGGCAATCACCAGTCAATCAGAACAGGCACTTGAAATCTATTAATATGTACCCTCCCTGGGGCATGTAATACTAGGTATCAAGGCAATAAGATTTGCAAGCAACAAAAGGACTCATTTTTAGGTGTGAAAGCAATTCAGTGACATGGGAAGCATTAGGGGCTGTAATAAAGTGGCTCCCAAACATTTGAAAATGAAGAAAATACAATTGGCCTCTTTACGATCAGCAGAAAATGAATGAAAACATGGATGTATATCCAAGGTTGTCTGAAAAATCTTGAGTGGCTCTTAGGCTATCATGGCTGCATTGTGCCCTGATTGATACAGATGAAGAAATAATGTATCTCTCAGATGGGGCACTGGCTGATCCTGGAGGCCTGGGAAAGAATGAGCCTTGGAACTGGATGGTGGAGATGTTCATCCCTTCCTGGCTCTGGACAAGGGAGAGAGGAGGATTTAGGCAAAAGACATGGAGTATTTCTGAACCTGCTGAGAAGCCAGGAACCCTGTTGTTAGGCTTTCTTAGCTGGATGTCGTTGATTATTTGACTCTTCTAACATCCTTGCCCTGATTTCTTCCTCTTTAAGCAACTTTCACATTATGATCCAGCTTCCCACATGGACTAGCTCACTGAGAACAAATGCTTTGATGCTATGGCCTTTGAATAATGTGATTCTCTGTGTGCAATAATAAATTTCCTTTTGGTGCTAACTCCATTCTTATGGGTATTTTAATTATTGTGAGACCTTCTCCAGTCCTCTGCACTGATAAGCAGATGTCAGATGTCAGGGCCATTGGCAGGGAATCAGATCCAGCTGGCTTTCCCTTGGTGATACCAGTGCATCTTTCAAATACGCATACTCAGAGTCCCCACATACTGACCACTGGTGCCCAGTGAGTGGGAACCAATGAGGATTCATGTAAGAAGATTTAGGCAAGTGGGGACATTACTCTTTTCCCATTACAAACATCTAATATAGTATTATGTATTTTTTAATTAAGTAACTTTTATTAAGCATTTTTAATGTAGAAATCACTGTGCTAAACGTGGGTGAGCTCCTTTGCCTTCAAGGGAACTTATGCTTTATTGAGGTATGGAACAAACATGTACCCAAGTGTCTCAGGATGTGAAAAAATAAATACAAAGATCAGGAAGTTGGGGATTGACCCACTGGGTAAGGAAATGACCAACTACAAGAACAAACCGGGCTGCAAATCAAAGTTCCAAGCTGGCTGAAGAGGCTGGAAAGCATGACTCAATGGAGGAAGGCAACCAAGATTGTCGTGATGATTGGCAGAGTTGGAGAGCTGGAGTACAGACCACCACCTACCAGTCAACTTTGGAACATTGATGGATTCAATTTATTTTTCCAGGGTGTACATGGTTATTTACTAAGCACAGACTATAATGGTGATAACAGCGGTGGCTATGGTGTTGGTGATGGTGTTGGTGGTGTTGGTAATGATGTTGGTGATGGTGGCGTTGGTGATGGTGATGATGGTGATGGTGGTGGTGGTGATGGTGTTGGTGATGATGCTGGTGATGGGGGTGGTGATGGTGGTGGTGGTGGTGACAAAACCACCAGCACTCAAACCAACAGTTTACAAAGAACTTGCACATCCATTATGCATATGCATATACACTTGCATATTTCATGCTATGCATAATAATAAGCAGTAACCATCATATAGCCAATGAAAGGAGAAAGGAGGTAGAGCTGGACTTAAGCCAGTCTTTTCTCTATCCCCAAGGCTCCAGGACAGGTGCATCACCCTAAGCTCTCCCTCTGGGATGATGAGGGACAGCACACACTAAGGACATCTGGAGAAGGAGGTTTTAATTCTGAAGACCTTTGTCTACTGCAGAATTCATGGTCCACAGTTACAAAAATTAGCTCCTGGTTGTAGCTACTAACTCCACAATAGAAAAGCTCTTCCTGCAGATGCCTAAAAGTGTTTTCTCTTTCCTCCTGGGCTTCCAACAGATCAACTCAAATGTCTAAACCAGTCCTGGAGGAGTGGGTGGCTTTTTTTATTTTAAATTTCCCTAAATTCTCTTGAGTAGGTTCTTCTCCTCTCTAAATTTAGTATCCAGCAATAAAGATCCATCATAGGGAAAACCTTGGCTTGTAACTTAAAATGGTTTAAAATTTCTGATATATAATTTCTACCTTATTCTTTTACATAGAATAATAGCCATCTATTGGGTGCCTAATGGGTACTGGCAATTTGAATACTTATCTTATTTAATGTGCACAAAAGAAGAAATTGTTTTTTTTTCAGATGAGGAATCTAAGTCTTAGTGAATTTAAGTAAATTTCCTAAGGCCAAATAGCTCTCAGCAGAAGCTCAGTGATTCAATTGAATATCTGCCTGACTGCAATGTCAGTGGGTGCTCGGCCCATCTGCTCTTGGGCTATCAACTTTCCTACCTCCAACTTTGCTCTTTGGGATTAGCAAAGCCTAGAAAAAAACAACCGAGAGTAAAAACTGTGTTTGAAGTTCTGAATTTCAGATGCTTTGTATTGACCCAGTCTTCTGATTCCTCCTCCTCCTCCTCCTTCCGTTTAGACACTGACAGATCACAAAATCTTGGGCTATGAGGATTATGAGAGAAATACAATTCCCTACCAGGAGGAAGTCAAGGGAACACAACATTCTCTTTACTTGCAAATATCTTAATTACAGCTAGTAAAGAAGATATCTGTATGGAAATTTATGTATCTTTTTATGTTATATATTCAGTTTGTCTCAGGAAAAAAAAAAAAAAGGCCTTTTGCACTTGAGGAAGGAAAAGGAGATCCTGTTATGACACATCCGTAAGGGCCCTCCACAGGAGTAGAGAGACGTGAATGACTCAACACCAGATTCAATGGTCTCCTTCAGCCTTTTCCTCTCCTTTCCCGAGGACAGAATCCAATATAAGCATGCTTCAACGTCTCAGAATTTTCTTATGGGGCATCTTCCCCGTCTTTTTTCCCCAGTATCAGTCCTCATGCCTGCACAACCTTCAATGAGAGAAGAAAACAACTGGATTTCTAAACTGCAGAGAGAAGAGACTAAGTTTAGGAGATAACTAGAAACCACCCTCAGAAATAGGTTATTATTTTTTGGCAGGATTAGGGGGCTAAATATTTTTATTCCACTGGTTTCCCACCAGTCAAGATACAAACAATGCATAAAATATAACCAATTACCTATGAAAAGCACAAGGCTTTTTTTTTTTTTAGACAGAGTCTCACTCTATCACTCAGGGTGGAGTGCGGTGGTGTGATCTCGGCTCACTGCAACCTCTGCCTTCTGGGTTCAAGTGATTCTCCTGCCTCAGCCTCCCCAAGCATGTGGGACTACAGGTATGCACCACCATGCCCAGCTAATTTTTCATATTTTCAGTAGAGACAAGGTTTTGCCATGTTGGCCAAGCTGGTCTCGAGCTCCTAACCTCAAGTGATCCCCCCGCCTGGGCCACCCAAAGTGCTGGGATTACAGATACAAACCACCGCACCTGGCCACAGGGCCATTTTGGTCACATTGAGGTTCTTCTTAGTTTTTCTGAGTCTTATAATGTCTGTTTTATAACATAAACCACATTTATCTCCACTAAGGACATAGGATGAAACATACTTACCTTGTAGCAGGTAGGATTCTCGCTAGACACAACTGAGAACTTCCCACTTCTAAAGAATGTTAATAATTAGAAAGAAAAAGACAAATCTCTCACTGAAAATAGCTTCCCTCTCCCACAGCTGAAAGGAATAAGGAAGGAAACCTGTGGAATCCCAGAAGATGCACTGGAATAGAGTGAGCAAACCATCTGTCTGGGATGATTTTGATGCTATTCTGCCTGGTCCCTCAAGGGTGAAATAGATGACATTTAAGGCTCCTTCCAGCTATATATTTCTTTAAAATTGAATGATTTGGCATCTGCTCCGTTGTTTCTAACACTTTAAGGATGCAGAATGGACTTGGTGGCCTAAAAGATGCAATTTAAAAATCCATCCTGGTTTATTTAGGTATTTGTCACCTCCAAATCTCATGTGGAAATCTGATCCCCAGTGTTGGAGGTGGGGCCTGGTGAGAGGCGTTTGAATCATGGGGGTGGATCCCTGAGGGAATGGCCTGGTGCCATTCTCCAGGTAGTAAGTGAGTTATTCATCTTAGTTCCCATGAGATCTAGTCATTAAAGAGTCTGGCACCACTCCTTCCTCTCTCTCTTGCTCCCTCCCTCACCATGTGACACTCCTGCTCCTCCTTTGCCATGATTGGAAGCTTCCTGAGGTCCTTACCAGAAGCAGATGCTGGCACCATGCTTCTTGCACAGTCTTCAGAGATATGAGCCAATCAAATCTCTTTTCTTTATAAATTACATAGCCACAAGTGTTTTTTATAGCACCTCAAAATGGATGAAGACACATCCTGACCCTCCATTTCACTGTTTTTTTGTGTTTTTTTTTTGTTTTGTATTTGTTTGTTTGTTTTCATAGTTGCCCCTTACAAACTGCAAGTGGCTTTGAGCCTGTGGGACCAGCCAGTCTCCAGTTCGTAGTCCTGAGCCCATGGATTCTAATGGCTTCTCTTCCATACTCTATGGCTACCACTGTGGCACAGGATCTCACTGCCTCTTTCCTGGGCCAGTGCAATGGCCTGCCTTTATGGTCTTAGTTTCCAGCAATCTATCCCACATGCCACTGCCTTATGAATTGTCCTTACACATGACCTGATTCACACCTCAACAGATGACAAATCCTCTGTGACTGTCCATTGACTACCTAAGCCAAAATAGTTGGCCTTTCAAAAGCTGCCATGGTGGTCTTTCCTTTACCAACATTTCTTTCCATGCATCTTCCATAGATCCTTAGTTTCGGCCAGTTGAATCACACACCGTTCTAGATCATTCTTCTGGTTTCCTTACCTCCAAGCTTCCTCCATGACTTTGCTCATGCTAACCTCTCTGATGGAGATATCTTCCTAAAATTTAATCCAGACTGCCAACCAACCCCTCAAGACCCATGCCATTCCTCTACTTAGATAAGCTTTAGACATTCTTAACTGCCTTTTATACAATTTGCCTCCCTTTGGCTTATGATAGAGCAACACATTTTTATCTGTTCTTATATTCCCTATGAGATTTTTATTTCCTTGTGTTCTATTCATCTTAGCACATGGACAAGGAATTGAATTGAATCCCATCCCTCACACATGGATCTTGCGAATGGCTAGGGAATGTGGTATGAGGGTAGGAAATAAACCAACATGGACAGGGTTAGCAAATGTGCAAATGTGTTTGGAAACTAAGCATCTAATTTAACCTCATGAGAGGGAAGTGTTAACTAGAGTTGAGGTTAAGAACACTGATCTAAAGACAATGTCATCAAAGAAACCGAGTGACTGAACTGGGACTCAGTTCTTTCAGTCCCAGTCCAGGAAAAAAAGCAGTAAAGCCATGGATGTATCTAAAAAGGAAACTTGAGTACATCCCACAAACTCTCAACCTAGTTTCCATGCAGTGGCAGACAATAATGCTATTGGTGTGGCCAGTACTTGTGAAAAGATGAAAAGCCTCACACAGTGTAGAAGAAAGATGAGAAATGTCCACTTTACAAATGAGAAACTCAGGTCCTGGGCAAGAAAGGGATCTGTTCCATGTCAGGAGTCATGGCAGAGAGACTGAATCTAGGCTTCTTGGCTTCTACTCCTGCATTCTAGTTCCCACATTTGTCACTGGCTGCCAAGAGCCCAAAAACAAAAATGGGAGGGCACTTCCCAGGACTAATATCCTCAGGCCACTGCAGGGAGAATTCACAAAATAACTTCATCACTTCATTGTTAGAGCCCGGTTCTTTGCACCTCAACCTCCTGGTCATCATGCCCTCTCCACGTCATCTTCTCTCCAGATTGCCGGAGTGTCCCAGGGTGGAAAATACCAGATTCTTTTCTGTATTCAGTTCTATACTTTTCAGAATACCTGAGTTGCAGGTAGATGTCCCCAACATTACCACCATATTGAAATAAAGTATAAAATGCTCTAGAAAGGGTGGAGGTATAGGAGTGCAAAGATGATAGCAATAATTAGATAATCCTCATCCTTGGAAAAATACAAAGAAATTCTGTTCAGGTAATTCTTCTACCCACCAGGGTGAATCTTGGACAATTATCCTCAATATCTCAAAGAAGAAGAAGAGGGTGGAGCAGAAATTAAACTTCAGTCACTAAACTAGATCCAGGTAATGTAGAAGAGTCTGCTTCAAAACTGGAGTTTGTTTTTTTATTTTATCAGGAAGGAAAAAACGGGGCTGAGATGTGGAAGAGCTATGGTCTAGGGTCAAAGCAACAGTACAGACTGGTTAAGACAACTTTGACGTTATTATTCTACCTTTGGCCATGTCCCCCTCCTATCCTAAAAAAATCAAGTCTTCTTCTCACTTATTATTACACACAGAACTTAGTTCAACAGAAGGCAAAACCCCAAAGAGATCATATGGCTGGAATCCAAACTCCAGATTTTAGAGATGAAAGTGAAATCTCTGATTTGGAACCTGGACACAGAACTGACACTGAGACCAAGATGTCCTAAATCTCAGCCCTGTCCCTCAACAGACTTTTGTATTCCAAAGTGACTGATATTTTGTAGATAATTAGTGTGCAGATCCACTGGCTTTAATCAAGGAAATAAGGTTGTAATACTTATAATTAGCATAAATGTATCCCACACACCTCCTTCTGTGTTCATTCCCTCAGCAGCTCTGTACAACTTAATAGGTCTTAGCATTTAAGTTGTTTTTCAAAATTCACCTGAGATGTGCATATCACGACACCCAGTCCTACAGCAGATGCTCAGGTAACTAAAGCTCTGAGCCCCACTTGGAAGTCTCTCCAGTCTGTGGCCACGTCTCCTGATTAGCACAAAGCACCCTCTCCCAAAGCTGAAGAAGAGAACAAACGCATGGTTTAGGGCTGGGAATTTAAGAAGATCCCATACCTTCCTCTAGACTCCTAAACTCCAGCAGAGAACAGTAACTCCAGCCCTGTCCACTTGCTATATGAAGATGGCTGCCCCAGACTGCACAGTTCTAAAAGATTCTTGTAAGAATCTGGAGTTATAATTTGCTCACAAAATAGGGTTTCTCAGCACCTCTGGGACTGGTTTTGCAGGAGGGGGTCTTATAGCCCACCTATCTCTGTTGCAGAAAATTGAACCATGGAATCCTGGAGGCTCCTAAGGGTGCATCGAGGGCATAGGGTATCAAAGGAGAGACTGTGGGCAATGGGGGATCCATCCCCTCACCCCTGCTTTGACCACGGTAGTTCCACTGCCCTTAAGTAAGACTGGTTTGGTATCGCAGAGTGAATCCTGAGACAGTAAAATGTGCATTAGTGGAAAAGCTGGTAAAATCCAAACAAAGTCTGTAGTTTAGTTAATAATTTGTGTCACTGTTAATTTCTTATTTTTTGCCAAGGTACCCTGGTTCCATACGATGCCAACAGGAGGAAAAACTGAGTGAAGGATATATGGGAATTCTCTACACTATTTTTGCAACTTTTCTGTACATCTAAAATTACTCTCAAATAAAATTTTATTATAAAAATTTGGGAAAACCACTTCCTCGGGAATGGAATACAACGCTCCTCCATTGTTCTCCTCTATATAAATAGGACGATGGTTAAAGAATGATTACGATATTTCAAAAACAGCAAAGGAAGAATCAAACACAATAAACAGAGTCTGGTCACTGGACAACCAGTACAAGAACCTCATCTCCTGACAGCCAGCATCACTTCTTCATTGGTGCCTGGGTCTACTTAGGAGTACCTAATGGCTAAAACCAAAGGGACAAATCTGGATAAGCCCTCTCCAAACAGGGTCAGCATCCCTCAAGAACCAGTATGCCTAGCTGCTAATCCTTTATCACCAGTTAAGCTAGGGGTCAAGCCTCCCTACTCCTGGTCTCAGAGGAAGGAACTATATGATTCTGAGTGTAGCTGGCAACTGCTTGCCTATGTGGACATGAATAGACTTGTGATGGACCCCTTCCTCTTTGCACTGTTTCAGGCTTCCAACTACAGGGACACCTTATTGGAGTAACAGGTCTAATGCAGAGAGCTCTCCAGTCTTAATCTCACCTCTTGGGAGAAAAAGCTTGTCTGATTTTGGGGACTGCGCATGGGGCCACAACCCCTTCCCTTTTCTGATGAGTATCTTCTCCCTACAAAGAGGAGCAATGAGCAGCAAAACTTCTGCCTCTGCAGAGCAAAGTCTGCAATATTTCCAGGCTGCTATGACTGAGCTGGAATGCCTAATCTTGCTATAAAGATTAGGGGACTTGGTATTAAAAAAAAAAAAAACTATTGTTGCTGCACACTGAAATCACCATCAGTAAGAATTCTATCATTATTCAAGTGTACTTTATAATCTTCATCTGCCTGGCTTCTCAGCCTCAGTGGGCTCAAACACATCATCTGGGCAGAGAAGAGAGGTACCACTTATTAAATGAGATTCCCAAAGTTCCAACGAAGAGCAGAAAGCATGGTGGAACCCTGTGATCCTAAAAGTCAATTGCCTCAAATTACCATCATTAGCTTTTGTTTTTACCTTTAAAATTACCTAAAACCAAGTTATCTCACAGACCACTGGCTCTCTTCAGTACACTGCCAACCACTTGACTTTCATCTGAGAGTTTCTCCCGACTTGAAGGCAAGAACTCACTGGTCAAAAAGACTTAGAGGAGCCTCAGGCTCTCAGCTCTGGTGACTGAGTAATCAGTCAATGTTCTTGTTGATCATAAAACTGGAAGGCACCTTAGAGAGCATCTGATAAAGCCTCAGCTTTGCTGCACCTCAGGTCCTCCCATTAAACTAATGAGGGGGCTGCCCTCCAGAGCTCTCATATTGTTACAGTCCCTGGATCTCTGTCTTGTTCTCTCAGGACTGACATGCTGGGAAATTCATTTCAGTAAAGTCAATGGGCCATAAATATCTTTAGGATCCTCTTAAAAGCCCTGAACCTTCAAAAAACAAAAAATGAAATACAACACCCCACTCAATATTACTCATATAATTTTAGGAAGTCTTAGAGTTTCTGAAGCCCATCCTTTGACCTGCTGATGGAAAACAATACAGGCTTTTAGTCAAGGATGTAACCCTTCTTTAGAAAATACTGGACGGCTTCAGTTAGAATTTCGACATATTCTGGATTCCTCCTTTACTACCATGGATTTGGAATAGAAGTTGCTCTAATTTGTATTTCTTCCCTGTTTTTCTTCTAGATGTGTTTTCTTATCTATTAACTTACATTCCCTTTGATTTGGAACATTGTTTCTTTCCTCCACCCAATTCATAGGATGTAGTTTCTTGAATTTACTCTTCTGCTTTCCTGGAGGATGAATCAAAGCACCAAGATGGCAGGTGGGACCAAGCTCTTCCATTGCTTACAAAAGCATGGGACACCAAGAGTTTGCAAGGAGAATAGAAAAGGGGATCTTGCAAAATAACTCTCTCCACATTCAGAGTAGCAATACAAAGTAAGAATGGCTTGGCCTATCTTTCCTGATAAATCAGTGGATATGGGATGATTTCCTGCTGGGATGGAATGTGGAAAAACAATGTAGTTTTTCTTCATCCTTAACTCTGGCAGAGATTGCCAGCTATGAAGTACAATTCATGTTTTTTCTCTTCTATGTGGGACACAGCTATGTTCCATTTCTCAGCCACCTTTTTAAATAGGAAGGTCATATAACTGGGTTCTTGCCATGAAAGAAAGTGATTAGTCCCCACTTTCAGGCCAGGTCTATTAACAACATCCCACACACATTCCTTCATGCCAGTTTCTCCTTTTAGCTGGTTGGGACATAGATAGATGCCTAGCATGACCAAGGAAGGACCCCACACAAGGAAAAGGGTAGAGCTCCATGAGCCTGAATGATGGTGTAGCAGAGGACTACTCCTCCAGTGAATTCACCTACTCATACTGTTAGATGACCTAGAAATGAGCTTCTATTTGTGTTGGAACCATTATATATCTGAGTATCTATTTGATACAGCAGTTGGCCTACCTTAACTAATATATCTAGGTAAGCCTTGTCCATTTTGGAATTGGAGAAAGCATTCATATTTTAGCTCCAATAATTGCTAGGGTTTGAAAGTGTCCTCCAAAGATCCTCTGTTGAAAACTTAACCCCAATGCAACAGTGTTGAGAGGTGAGACCTCTAACAGGTGATTAATCATGAGAGCTCTGCTCTCATGAATGGATTAATGTTGTTATCATGAGAGTGGGTTTGTTATCACAAGAGCGGGTTTACTATAAAAGCAAGTTTGGCCCATTCTTGGTCTTTTGCCATGTGATGTCTTCTGCCATGTTATGACACAGCAAGAAGGCCCTCACCAGATGAGGCCCCTCGATCTTGAACTGCCTAGCCTCCAGAACCATAAGAAATAAATCTCTTTCTTTAATAAATTACCCATTCTGTGGTATTCTGTTGTAGCAACACAGAACAGACTAAGACAATAATTAATATTTATTATTTATCATCCTAAGAGCTTTATATTTCTTAACTCTTAGTCCTTACAGAAAATGCGTGTGATAGGGGATGTTGGCTCCATTTTACAGTTGAAGACACAGAAAGGGCAAGTAACTTGCCGAAGGTCATACAGTCAGGAATTATAGGAGCAGAGATCAAACCAAGGCAGTGTGGGTCCAAGAGCTTACAACTTTTCATCTGCTATGGGGACACCAAGACATCCATAAAATCAAATATTCTTCCAGTAAGGTTGGCTTGTTCTAAATGATTCCCACTTCCTAAGGATTACTGTTACTGTCTTTCTAGGAGTTTCTGGGAACCCTGACCCAGAATCTCCAGCTTAGAATCCAGTGCCTTACTACCTGCTGCCAGACCTGTTTATGACCCACACCTGTGTGTCATAAACACACAGGATTTTAGCATACTTACCCCATCATGTCCTAGACACTCTGTTCTGTCTCCTACCAGAACCTGAAGTGGGTCATCCTTGACTCAGACTATCACTCGTTTGCCTCTTCTGAACATTCTCCCAGGATAATGCACTGCTTGATTAGATAAGACTTGCTCCTGCTGCCTGCAGCTGCATTCCACATCATCTCCAAAGGCTCACCTCCCCTAAGTGAGCATCTGGTTATCTGTCTAGGTTTCTCTTGGTCTGGAATGACCTATTTCCTAATTCTAAATTCCCTTTCTGACTTCACTCATTCATACTTTTATTAGGTGCCTAACAAGTGCCAGGTACTGTCACACAGGACAGCACACAGGCACACAGGACAGCAGGATGAACAGAAAGGAACACTCCTGGAGCTCTACATTAGTAGGATCCCATTCCCCCCTCATTCCATTCCTCCCTGATCTCAGTGTATTGACTCCTCTCCCCAAATCAAAACATCTGAAAACATCTGTATTCTGAAATCTCAACCTTCTCCCCTTCAGGACATTCAAAACTTTAATACTAGATTTGACTATCAATCTCTTAGTGTTCTCTGATGTTCTTAGAAAGATATAATGGTACCCAAAGCCTACCCTTGTCAAAGCCAGTGTAAAGGTAATCTTGGAAGCATTGAGTCAGTGATTCACAGAAGGAAAAGGTGTTTGTCATTGTGAATGTCTTAAGAAGAGAGAACAAATCGCTCTGGTGTTCTGGTGTGGGAACATTTGTTTTCTCTCTCTAAATGTGTAACAGGAAATTAGGCAGTTCACCTTTGTAAATCGTCTGTATACCACTTATGTATGAGCCAGATGGTGCCTCTTCGTTTTAACAAATTAAAAATGAAAAAGAAAGACTATAAGGAGGAGTTTATCTCCATCTCTCCCCATGCCCTTATATGCACATTCTGGAATCTGCACTGGGCAGGCAAGCACACGTGTATGCACACACACACACACACACACACACACAGGCCTGGATTATCTGCACTTAGTGGTGTTAGGCATAAGAAGCCAACAAACTCTTAGGCCCAAATGAGTTCAGTAATCAGTGATAGCAGAGAGGTACAAACCTGTCCGGGGGTATCAGCTCATAGAGAGAATCCTTCACAGTATTCTCGCGATCTGACAAATCAGAGCATTCCTCCAAGGCCTTAGCCGATGTATACTGAACAAAAAAGTTTTACACAAATCACCCAAATGTGGACTTAGCTCTAGGATTCATGAGCAGTATTTCCATACATGTTGAAACCTTAAGAAAGACATTTTCCTGAGGTGGTCAATGTAAAGATTCTACTCCTTTGGAGCAGCTGCATGATCCAGTTTATCTTCTAGTGGTCACGGAGTCCCTCTCTCTGTCCCAGGAATTGCATATGGAAATAAAATTATCCACAGAGTTGTCTTGGCTTGGATGTGAGGGGGACTAGTAAGATAATATAAACAGGAGTTTATCCAGTAAGTATTGTACTACAAGCTCTTTATACAAATTAACTTGCTTAACATCAACACAACTCTGTTGAGTGAATATTTTTGTTCTCACTTTAACAATAGAAAAATTGAACAGAGGTTAGAGGAAAATGCATTCAGGTTACATGGTTGCTAATGGTGGTTGCACATTAGGATGTGAACACAGGTAAGATTAGGCCTAAATCCAAGAATTCCATTGTCATTCCAATGTCTTCCAATATGGATAATAAGACTTCAGGGTTCATTTTGATGTGACTTCAGGCAAATCTACTTCTGCCTTTCATTTTACAGAAAAGTAGGGAATGAGGAGTGGTGTATACATTAGGACACTGTGAGTAAGTGAACATGAAGATATGCCACAAGCTGGTCTTTAAATGTCTCATCAGTAGAATACACAGATTTCCAATGGTGTGCTGTGTATTTACTGTAAGAGTTATCCTTTTTTGTTCAAACTTCCTTGGGACCAAAAACATACATTTCGAGCTAGCTGGCCTTGGCTAACATCGCCCTTAGAACTCATGAAGAAGGAATTGAGGTTACCTGTAGTGTGTACATTTTCCCACCTCACTCTCCCTTCCTTAAATTCTAATCTACCCTGGCACCTACAGAAATTAGATAGATGTATTCCTTGTAGCCCTTTTAGGCATAAAGAGCAACAGTTCACAGTTATTAAGGCAAGGACAAAGAAATATCAATTGGGGATGTGATCTTTTTATTTTTTGTTTTTCCTCTTTTAAACTAGTTTCAATAAATATTAACAGCACATCTAGAAGCAAGTTTGAAGGGCCAGTTAGCACATTCTGGTCAGACATAGTTTCCTGAGACTCCAGTGAAGTCAGTAGTTATCAGCTTGGCATAATCAAACATCTGCCTTTCACAGAGAAAAACAATGAGCCATCCCTTGTTTTCATCAACACCTACATAGATCTGAGCACAGTCAGACAGACCAGCAAACCCCATTAAACAAAGTGGAAAGGCAATTAAATGATGCCAGCTCCAGCCCCACTCTAAGAAATCTATGACCCATCCCCCTCTTAGTAACCACACCAATGCCTCTCTTGGAAATGAATAAAAAATATGGTCTAGACACTAAAGAAAGACTCCTCTTTGATATTTTCTGGCAGGTCTGCCCTGGCCATCGGTCTATGACTACTGCCACATCATGTCTCCTTTTCCATACCTGGGAATACTGGATAGGACAGGTGGCTAGTGAGGCTACCCAGCTTGCTGTGGACACTGTATGCTTTGTCTTATATTCTCTCACAACGGTACATCATCTGCCATTCTTTGGTTGCACAACAAACAAGTCATTTTCTAACAACCAAGGTCATTTCTCAAACATTCCATTTTTCTCCAACCTATTGCTAAAATGAAGTATCTTGACTGATCTGTTTTAACGTCTGAGTGATCTCATTTAGGCCATCAGGAACATCAAGATAGAACTGACCTGCACACACCTCAAATTCCCAGCCTCTGGTCCACTATGCTCAGGTCAACAGGACAATCATATCTATTTGACTCACGGTATGATCACTCATTTCTCCAAAGATGAGACAATTGGCTGCCATGATCCTGGCAATACACTGAATGTTTGTGTACCCCCCAAATTCATATGTTGAAACAGCCCCAAGGTAATGGTGTTAGGACGTGAGGCCTTTGGGAAGTTACTAGGTTATGAGGGCAATGCATTCATATGGAAGAGATGCCAGAGAGATCTGTTAACCCTTCTGCCATATGGAGAAGACACAGCAAGCAGATGGCCATCTATAAATGAGGAAGCAGACCTTTACCAGACAATTAATTTGTTTGCACCTTGATCTTGGAATTCCCATCCTCCAGAACCATGAGAAATAAACTTCAGTTTTTTGTAACCTATCCCATCTGCGGTATTTGTTATAACAGCTGAAAAGGAATATGACATCCCTTGACCTCCAAAACATTGTCCCACACTCTCCTTATAATGTCTATCCAAACTCCTCTTTCCTTTGATGTCCCAAAAATAGATTTTTTGTTTTTTTGTTTTTTTGGTTTTTTTTGACAGAGTCTCGCTCTGTCGCCCAGGCTGGAGTGCAGTGGTGTGATCTTGGCTCACTGCAATCTCCACCTCCCAGGTTCAAGAAATTCTCCTGCTTCAACCTCCCGAGTAGCTGGGACTACAGGCACATGCCACCACACCCAGCTAATTTTTGTATTTTTTAGTACAGACAGGGTTTCAGCATGTTGGCTAGGCTGATCTTGAACTCCTGACCTCGTGATCCATCCACCTCAGCCTCCCAAAGTGCTGGGATTACAGGCATGAGCCACCACTCCCAGCCTTGGATCTTCTGTATTTTTTAGCAATCTGCCCTCACTCAGTTTGCAGAAGTTATCTCTGTGTCTCAGGTTGCACTCATACTTCCCCTTGCTGAGATAAGTGACACTCATGGCCATTCATCCTTTCCCTGGAAATAATAACACTATCAGAATCAGTCAATAATCCATGGAAAAAAAGATTCCCAAAGACTTAGGGAAAAAAAAAGATTCTAGGAGCAAAATAAGACTCTTGTTAATGTAAAGCAGATGACTATATGAAGGTAAAACTGAGCAGGATGGATCTTCTCACAATCAGAAAGCTTTTCTAAGATCTAACCTGTCCTCTCTCCAAAGTTGGCAACAGATAACATGCTTCCTTTCCTCATCTGTTCCAGCCCATTTGGATAATGCTCAGCAATATATTAGCCATCTTTGTTACTTTACTTAGGTTTCCTCTTCTCATCAAGATCTACTTTTGGAAACAAGATAATTCTTACATAATCACAAGATAATTTCAGAGAATAAAATGTGTCATGGGTGAGGCTAGATCTGGGACTGGGTAGGGAGACATTAAATGTAGTATCAAGTTGGGTGTGTCTGTGTGTGTGTTTGGGCACATACATATACATGTATGAGTATGTTTACATGAAGAATGAGTATTGAAGCACGTAAGAACACAATGCATATGTTATTGCAATGTACAGATTACAGTTCAGTTAAATGTCCAAGAAGAAAGAAGGAGTGGGCAATTGAGAACATAATAAACAGGTATGTCAAGATGCAAGAGAGGCCAAAAGATAACTGTTGAGTGCATGTCTGGGCATGGGTGTGTATATGTGTGTGCCAGAGTGACAGGGTTAATGGACAATGAAAAAGACATGTAAGCAAGGCGCTAGCTCTGTGGCTGAGTCCTGCAGCTGGGAAAGTCACTTTACCCTGTAATAATCCGTGCTGTAGACATCTCTGGACATGCCGAAGTCCCCAATCTTCACTAGCAGATTCGCTCCAACCAGGCAGTTCCTGGTGGCCAGGTCTCGGTGCACAAAGTGCTGGGAGGCCAGGTACACCATACCCGAGGCGATCTGACTGGCAATGTGGAGCATTTGGGAGAGCCCCAGCTCACCCTTGGCCTGGCGTGGCTGTCCATCCACAAGGATCATTGCATCTGGCCCATGGGCCCTGCAAGAGCATGGGGAGAAGAGAGGGGGCAGAGAGAAATCAGGAGATCAAGGAGAAAGGCCTTCCTGGGTCCCTGCCCTCTGGAATGCCCCACAGAAATAAATAAAATTTCCCTTTCCATCCTGCCTATGGCTTATTTTTATCTGCCCCAAATTAGATTATGTACGTGTGGGTAAGGGTGAAACTCCACAACCAGATTCTGGCTAAGATGAGAGCAGACATACTCAAATGGAAGAGGGAATAAACCTACTCTTTTTAATATTTCACTGCTTCCTAGGATTTTCACAGGTGCTAGATGTCTATTATAGAATAATTAGCAAAACAACAAATAACTCTGCCATAGCCCTTACTATATGCTCTGATTGTTTTAAATATTGTAATTCACTCAATTTTCCCACCCCAATTTTGAAATAAAGAAATTGAGGCACAAAATGATGAGATTGCTCAGCCAAAGTCCCAGAGGTCCAGAATGGCCATATGGGAAATCAGGAAGTAGGATCTGAAACCAGACATGTGACTGTAAAAAGTGAGCTTCTAAAAGGAACATTGGGAGTGCTTGTTCCAAGATTCCCTGGCCCTGCCCCCTAGGATTCTGATTGGCTAGGTGAGCTTGCTCATTTGCATCTCCCACTAGCTCCCAGGGCTGATGCTGGCAGTCCACGCTCAGTGGCCCTGGGACACTCCTAACCACTCCACCACACCGCTTAGCACTGGGTAACTTATGGCCATAGCAGTGCACAGTGGAGAGAGCCTCTGACCTTGAAGCATGGGTCTGGGGTACCCCCAGAACCCATTCCATCCCAAATCAAGCCCGGATTTGTTATTCTAACACCTTGCCTGATCATATCAGTCACTTTTAGCATTCACTCTTTTCTCTAGAAAGCCCAGTGAGCCGTAACCACACCCAGGGCCCTTATTTATGAAGTTGTGGACCAAGGAGCCCTGGTGTACAGCAAGGCCTCTGCCTGCTTTACTGCTTCTCTGATTTCCTCTGAAAAGCACCATTAAGTAGGAGCACATCCCTTTTACTATCTCCGGTGGGCTCTGCCTACCTCACTCCTCAGAAGGAGGAAGGCTGCATCAGCTCACAAGGAAGAGGGGTCAGCAGAGAAGCCCTCCCTTCTGTCTGCCTGGAGAGTGCACTCCAGCCTGCCTCTCAACACCACCAATATGGAGATGTGAGAGCAGGCAGGGTTGGCCTGCGGGTTATGGAGGCTGTGTTTGTGAGAACAGCCGACAGGATGCCTCCCAGGAAGGGTTGGTGCGGCCTGTTGCTAAGAGCTTCTGGTCTCAGAGAATTCTTTAGAAGGTCACCCTCGACTGATAGAGCCTAGGAAGACAGATTAATGGAACCTACTGGGAATCTGGTCAGTAGTGGAGGCTAAAGTTCAGATTTTGCTGCAAAATTGCCCCAGGAAGACTGTCGAGCCTTGATTTAGAGAGACTCCCCCATGCTGTCTTCAGGAAGGGATCCCATAGAGACACAGAGGTCTTCAGAGTGTCAGCAAGTCCTTGTAGAACTGTACTCACAGGCATGCATTCCCCATGCTGTCTGCCATGGAGAAGGCAAGGCACTGGCACTGCCCCTCACCTTATACACTTCTTTCTGTTTCTTCTGTACTCCTTTTTCTTTTCTTCTTACTTTCTGCTTCTTCCACTCCTTATCTTTACTCTAGGCTCTCACTCTTTATTTCCCTCCTACTATCTTCTTTCTCTTCCCTTTTATCATGTATGACAGTAGTGCAGAGGCACCTAGGAGCTTTCTTTAACCCTGCTGGTGGCTCTTGGGGCTGGAGATACTGCTGAATGTAAGGATAGGATGTGGTGAAAAGTAGGGCATGCCCTTTGGGCCCCAGGGGAACAAAAGGACAAAGTGAGGGCTATCCCGAATATTGAGAAAGAGTGTTGCCTAGATTAGAAGCTACCATGGTTCACAATTCTCACAAAATAGTAATAGTAATAACTTCAATAGCAGCTACCATTGGCTGATCACTGAACTACTTGCAAAACTTGTCTAAGCATTATACATATAGTCATTTAATACTCATAGCAACAACCCCGTGAAGCAGTTATTAATAGTCGTGTTTTCTAGGAGAGAAAATTAAGATTTAATAACTTGCTCCAATTTGCAACTAAGATGTGACAAATCCAAGATATGAACCCAAATCTGTCTTATGCTAAAGACAAAGTTCTCCAGGAAAGGAATCCATTTCATTGTGAATCCAGGTTTAGAAGGCTTAGAACATCCCACAGATGCTTTCATTTCCTTTAGGGCCATCTTTATAGAAACCTGACTCATAAGCAGAGCTCCAGAGAGTCCTCCATTCCATTGCCTGGTACTAACTCATTTCTTTGCCCCTCAAAACCACGACACCCTATTGAATGTCCCACTTCAAGAGGATGCTTAGCAGTTTTTGGTGAGTGGGCTAGAGCCTTCTATAATTTACATTTGAACTTTGGAAATCTTATCCTCAGCCACAGAGTTCAATGAGATTCAAATTGTGGTGGTCGCAGAGGCCACACCCTAAGTATACAGGGCCTGTGTGTTTAACCTGCTTCCTGGGGCCTTGGGTTCCAAAGACCTTCACATGGCTGTCCCTTCCACATCTGGGCACTGTTTGGAAGTGGCATCTGCAGAAGGCAGAGGAGTCCTAACTCTGCAATAGATGCTGTCTTCTCTTGGGAAGGGAAAGCCACCCTTGAAACTTCATCCAGAACTTCTGGCTGGCGTTCCAGTCTCTTACCAGTTACATTAAGAGCCCTCGAAGTCCAGATGGTCTTGTTCTAGGCTCGGAGAAACCCTTCTTACAACAAATCCTTTCTTTTTAGAATAGTACTATCCAATAGAACTTTCTATTGATGGAAACATTTATACTGTGCTTCCCTGTATGGTAAAAACTAGCCACATGTGACTAACAAGTAGTTGAAATATGGCTACTGCAACCAAGGAACTAGTGCGACTGAATTTTTAAACCTTATTGAACTTTAATTAATGTAAATCTAAATTTAAGTGGCCATAGGTGGACACTGTACTGTACAGTTCTAGAATTAGCCTGAAGAAAATCGGTCCCCTTTTTGTTTCAACCATCTCTGCCACCTGATGAATTGTAACCTTGGACCTTCTTACTCATCATCAAAAAGTCTCTAGCAGGAAGGTTTCCAGGAGGGGTGTAAGATACTAGCCTCACTTTGCAAGTGAGAAACTTAAGGCACAAAGGGAGAAAGCTATTTGCAACATCAGAGAAGGGTGGCCCTAGAATCTTGGAGTTGTAAGCCACAGGCTGTGGGGCTTCCAGACTCCTTCTGGACCTATTCCAGACCCTGTCCATTTTGGAATGAGGAAGAATAGTATAGGATACTTATCATAGTATCCTCAACTTGTTTTCCCTACAAACCGGGGACAAAGGCCTGAATCTGGCTGCTAAGGAGATCATGTATAAGAATGAATGTGTTCATCTAATTTCTCATCCTGAGAGGAAAGTGTTTAGAGGGGGTAGTATAATTTCTGGCTCCAGGGAAAACCCCAAGGGTTCGGTGGGACTGGGGTCAGGTGCAGGGGAAGACAATCCTTGCTTACCTGAGGAACTTATTCAGGTCTCCATGCTTCATGTATTCAAAGACCATGATGAGGGGGTCCCCATCGCCGCACACTCCATAGAACTTGACAATGTGCTCATGCTGCAGGTTGGTGAGCAGCTCGGCCTCCCTCTGGAAATCCTTCCGGGCAGCCAGGGTGGGATCCTTCAGGGCCTAGGAACAATGCAGGACACAGGTGTTTAACAACTACAGGGCAGGGGGCTGTCTTTTCTACTCCTGGAAAGAAACTGGCCCCACACACCACTGGGTTACCAATAAATATGAATCTAAATGGAATTTAAAGACAATGAAGCTCAATCTCAACTATAAGGCCTGACTCCTTCCTTCTCCAGCATTTTCATCCCTGCAGAAATAGAAACCCACTTTCTGACATCCACATCCCGTGCACTCTCCAGTGATTTCAAGCTCTGTTCTTCACAGAGCCCTGGGCTTCCGCAGGTGAGTGTACATGGCAGCTGGAGGGGCTGTGAGGAGGAAAGCCTGGCAAAAGCCCCTGCTCCTAAGGTTTTCTTTGAGGAAACTGTCCCACAGCTGGAATAAACAGTGTGAAAACCACTGCCCCAATACTTTAGCTTTGTGAATTAGTCACATGCTCATAGCCTATTGGAAACTGGGCAGGCAACACAATAAAATATCCTTGTCTTTTGGAGTCCTTGCTTTTAGATTGTGAAGGTATCTACATTTGCAGAGGAGAGTGAGCACTTTGACCTCTGGAAGACACCTGTGTTCTCCCAATAGGGGTTTGGAGGAAGCAATAGGGTGGGAAGAGTGGGGCGGCAGCTACGGGAATGGCAGTTAGTGGACAGAAATCTCAGATACACTCAGGGCCAGGCAGAGTCCTTCAAAGTCCTAGTGCAGGATGGAAAGGAGCATCTGGGGGCCACCAGAATGCCACCATTCAGCCTCTGTCAGGGTGAAAACTCAAGTGTGAGAAAGAGGTGCAAACCAGGCCACTTCCTGTAGGGCCCAGGAAGATGAATATACCCAGGTAGAGTGTAAGTTGTGCATGTGGATTTCCCAGCACCAGAAGGGGACTACAAGGCCAAAGATGAAGCCTTTGAGCACATCTGAAGGACCTTGGTTAGGGCACTGCCATGGGCCCAGCAATGCTGGCCAGATGGAAAATGGTCTGTGAAGAGGAGAGGCCCTTTCTGCATGAGGAGCAGCTTATGCAGGTGGGCGCCCCGATTTCTCCAGCCTCTCCACCCTCCCTATGAGGCCAGAAGGCAAATGGGGCCCAACATTGAGTTGTTTCAACTGACACACTTTAGCAATCTCAATAGACACAACACAAGGTAATGAGGAAGTGAGTGTAATATTGGCTCACCATTTTCAGGGGAGTGACAATCTAGACAGACTAGAGATTGGTTTGCATTCTCTCTGCTAGGCATCTGGCTTTTTCAGGATGACTGACCTCTCCTATAGATCATGCAAGTGCCAAAATGTCTCCCTCACCAGAGATCTTTCTCCTGTCCCTGCAGCCCCATTATCTGAAATCTGTAGGGCTTCCTTGGTTCTAGAACTGCAGTAGTGTGAATATGCCAAAAGAGGTGTATCTGGGGGGGTCCATCAAACCTCTCAGCCCTTAGCACACACCAGAAATGATGGACTTTTAGTATGAAAAGGGCCCTAGACATCATCTACTCCTACCTGCTCATTTCTGGAGTTGGAGAAACTGAGGCTGAGCCTGTCCAGGAATCAGCTCACATTCACACTAATTAAATGACAGACACTTAGAGTTTGACTGGACCTCAGTACTCTCCTGGTGGGCCTCACAGTGCCCCAAAGTTCAGTAGCAATGCCTCTAAGGTCATCAAGTGGAGGTGTGGTCTTCCAGCCAGAGATCAAGCCCCCTTCAACTTCAACCAGCACCACCTTCTATTCTTTTTAAAATTTGGAGGCTTCATAAAAATACTGCTTGATTAAATTAATCTACGGCTGACAAAAAAGTCGAAAGTTATCTAGTGTAACTTTCCCATTTTACAGATGAGATAACTGGGGTTCAGGATGGGGAAGTAACTTGCCAAAGATCACGTAACAAGTAACAGCTTGAGTCTGGAGCCCAGGACACTTTCCTGCCCAGCACACCTGCCTGAATTAATTTATGGGATAAATTAGTCACTAGGCAGGTCCCCAAGACAATGGTGGGCAGAGGAATAAAAGGACATGGAAGTATAGAAGAGAGGGTCAGGAAAGGGGTGGGATGTTGGCTGCCAACAGAGTGGCTGAGCCCAGCAAAGGTGCCAGGCTTGAGGATAGGGCAAGGACATGTGATCAGCCCAATGTTGATTTTTACCAGACCTCATTCTATGTGTTCTCCACTTCAAATCTGGCTGCTTGCTCTGGGAAGCTACCTAACAATAAACGAATAGGATGTAATGTCTACCTATAGCCAGAACAAAGACATTTGAGAAGTCAGAGAGTCATGGTGAAAGACAGTCTCTTCTGGGGACCCAGCTCCCAGCAGCAGCCTTGAGCTGTATGGGCTGGGTCATGGGTATTGAATGATGCAGAGTGGTTTATTTATTTTCATGCAGAAGAAGAAGAAGAAGGGGAAAAAACTGAACCCAGCATGGGTGGGATGGGAGAATACAAAGATTTATGTGAATGCTGGATTTATGAGAGGGAAAAGTAGGTCAAATTTGGGGCCAGCCAAATGGCCTCTCTCCATCTCTTTAAATCATTCTCTCCCACAGTCTGGACGTCAATGACAGCCCTGGGATATTTCTGTTCTCAGCTCTTGAGCAGCACCAGCAAGCATCCCCCAGGCTGGCACCCTGCACTGTGAGGCAGAGATGGGTTCTTCATTTGGGAGATGGGCACAAAGCAACCACCATTACTTTCAGTCTTCTACATCCCTTCTCTGTGCTTTCAAAGTGGGCTTTCCAGCTCTTGAGTCAAACCTGAAGTTCTTACCTAATTGGCCAAACGTAGGGTATGGCAACTAGGGTTGGGAGCTGCCAGTGGCCCTGTCCCCAGGGACTGATGCAATTAGAACAGAGGTGACAGGAGGAGAATAATGAGGAGGAAAATAGGGCCGGTGACTCTCTGGCCCCTCTCCGTGGGGTCCACATTTAACATCTTCATGTCTGGGAAACCTCAAAATGGGTCACCAGTCAGTGGCATGGGAAAGAACCGATTTATCATAGTTACCAACTATCAGTGTAGAGACATGCATCTTGCCAAGAGGTCTCTGAAGCTGGGGAGGCTCCTGGCTCAGGCGTTTGTATAGTATCTTTAGTACAAAAAGGAGAGCTAGAATTTGCCCTTCTTCTCTCCCTCTCTTTCTTCCAAAGTTTGGGGACATTTCCCTTTCTTATCTTCCCCTCTACGTGCATCAGCTGTCATGTCCACTCTGCCTTGGGGAGAGGGTTCAGTAAGGCTGTTTATTTGGATGGAAGGAAAATAGGCTAGATGGCAAGAACACAACTTCTCGACAGCTCCCAACTCTTCCTGGGTCATTCAGCATCTTCATGTCATCCAAACCCTGCTGCCCTCCATCTTACTTTCTTTTTTTTTTTTTTTAGGGGGAGATATTTCAAAGAATGTTCAGTTTCAGATTTCATTAATATCCTGAAATTCATTTTTATGATATACACATGATATACACACATTCCTAAATGTTCAAAGTCCTAAGTGGTAAAACACACACACGCACGCACACATGCACACCTATCAACCTCCTTTCATTATAAAATCATCTTTCTTTTAGTGACTCAAAATCCACTGCCACTTCCTCTGGGTGAGAGTCTCACACAACTTTACCAGGAAAGAAGATGGGTAGTTATTACATACAGGGGTGCCCCTCTCTTATCTGTCTTCCTGGCTTAAAACTGGCCATTGGCTTCCCAGTGTTTGTAGTATAAAATCCAAACTCCTTAACATAGTCATGGACTCTATAAGGTCTGGTCTCCCCATCTCTCTTTGCGTCCTGTCCTCGCACACACTCCTCCTGCCTCATTTATTACACTTCAGTCTCATGGCCTTTCCGTACTCTCCAAGATTTTCTCTGCCCCAGGGCCTTTGCTCCTCCTTTTGCCAGAAAACTCTCCACTGAGCTGTGTCTACATGACAGCCCAGATTAGCTGGCACTCCTTATGACCTCTACAGAACATGAGATCCTGAACACTCCCTGCAAGTTGGATACCCAGGGAGATACTACTTTCCCACAGAGGGGCTTACCAAGAGTCATCAGTGATTGTTCCCAAACTCATTCATGACAACTAAACCTGCTAATGTAATTACTTAATGTAATGAAATGTTCTAGAAACCAATGAAATATGAATGTAGATTGGAGAGTTTTTATGGAAGCTAGGATGAATGCTTTTAAAAAACCTGCTAAAGGTCAGTGGTTAAAAATACTGTTAAGAGTGGAAGGAAAAAGCATAAAAACATTGGGAAAATAGTAAAAATCCGAGATTCTGCACTCAGATTGTTTCACAAATGTTTTAAGCTCCTGCTTCAATTTAAAGTAATTGAAACTAGAAATTGTGACTACTCAAAACAAAAACCAAAACACCCTTCAAGCCAAAAGGAACCCAAAAGCTGCCCAGGGGTGCTGGGCAGGAAGAAATATAATGCTAAATCCAAATGACTAATATTATCAAAAATCAGGACATAAATTTCCTGAAGATAAATCAATTTTATTAGAATGGCTCAAAAAGATTTTTAAATAAGTAAATGCTCAAAAGGAGTGAAGAAATACATTTTCTAAAGAAAACAAGAAGGCATGCCACAAGAAGGGGGAGAAATAAAATTAAGGTAACAAAATTAAGAACCGATTAGATATCTTGGAAATAAAAGATATGGTCTTTGAAGTGAAAGCAAAAACCTCCACAGACAGGAAAAGCTTTAGACCAGATAAAACCACATGAAGAATTCATGAATCAGAAGACCACTGAGGTTCACCCGGGACAGAGTATGAAATGACAGAGACGAAAAAAAAAAAGGAAAAATGGGGAGAAGGATCTCATTCCCTCCTCTGCAAAGGAAGGGGGTTGACTGGGTTTGAATGCTGTGTAAATGTTCTATTTGTCTAATGATGATTTCAGAGTGGCACCACTTATTTAAGAGTCGCACACATGAGGTTATTTTAATGTCACACTTATACTACACATATGTGCAGATTATGTCCTGTGCAATCCTGCTCCCTCTCCCCAGCAGGCTGTAAGCACCTTAAAAATAGGCTGTGGTTTCTGCTTCTTTGTTTGTACCATAGCAACTGCTGGGCAAAACATTTTTGCCAATTGATTTGGGAAAACTTTATTGTGGGTTATACTTGTATGTGTTCTTTAGAGGTATAAAATTACTCTGCATCAACATGAGAACTAACTCAAAAGGAAGGGTCTTGCAAAAAGAAGTGGAATCTAAGGAGGGGAGGAAGCAGGAAACACCACTTCCAAGACGTTGTCTGGAGGAGATAGGCATCTTTTCCAGGCTGACCACTAGGCAGATCCACTGAGTGACACGTGTAAAATCCCAGACGGTTCATCTCCTCCAGATCCAAGGAAAGAAGGAAATCCTTTTAAAAGGATGGAAACAGAAACACATTTTCTGCATTACTCGGTCTGGGTACTGCCCCTTAATGCCAGACCACTCGGGGAAACATTTCCTAGGGTTTTCAGCCATCATTTCATTCTCTGCTGAAAGTGCAAAAATGTTCAGTTCATTCTCCAGTCCCCAGATGGATGCCGGAACACCCCGTGGATTAGTGTCATCCTATATATTAAAAATGCCAGGGCAGTGCAGATCCTAAGTTTAGGGTCAACATTAGAAACCTTTCTACATCCCTGCTCCAAGCTGTTTAAAGACACCCTTGTCCATCTGACCATCTCATGTCTATGCAGGCACACTGAGCAAGTTTATTTACAGGATGTACAGCAATAATAATCATTAGCCTTTTAGGATGCAGGACTCTTGTTTATTTTCTAGAGCAGAGGTCAGCAAACTATGCTTATTTTGGTAATAAAAAAAGTTATTGGAAAATACCCGCCCTCATTAGTGAATGTATTGTTATGCTGCTTTCCAACAACACAGGAAGAGTTGCAATGGAGAGTTATAAGGCCCTCAAAGTCTAAAATATTTACCTTTAGAGAAAAAGTTTGGTGACTCCTATTCTAGATAGTCATTGCAAGCTTGGCAGATCATATGTCATGTATCTAAGCACATTCAGTAATATCAACATCAATGACAATGATAATGATAGAAACAAATGCCAACTACTTTTTATTGAGTCTTTACTCAATAAAAAGCCCTAAGAAGTGCATTAAGAATTTTAGACACATTATGTAATTTAATCCCCAACATTCTAAGGAGAGGATATTATTATTGCTATTATACAGATAAGGAAATTGAGGCCCAAAGAAGTTGAGTGTTTTGTGAAATGTCCCAAAGCTTATCAGTGGTAGAACTGGGATTTGCACCCAGGCTCTTTGATGCCCATGCTATGCCTGCACTGTATTGCCTTCATTCTTCGAGGCTATTTGCCCTCTGTGGACAGAAACAATCTGTAGATACACAAGACTATGAATACAGAGACCCAAAAGTTGAAGAAACAGGAACTGCATTTGTGATCCCTCAATGCTAAGGATGGGACCATTGTGAGGTCTGGGTGAATGTCTTCACGGGGAGCCATATCTCTGGCATCGGTCAGCCCACATCTCAGGACATTGCAGGCTCTACACTGGCCTCAGAAGCCTGCTCACTGCACCCAATGAAGCCACTCCAGACTCCAGAGAAGGGCTCCAGAGATCTGTGCGTGCCTCCATGAGGCTACTTGACTCTTTTTATGTTAACCATGTTCAAAAATTTGTCCAATATTGGTTTACAAAGAGAAGCTGTTGACTGCTGGGTGGAAGAGTCTGGAAGGACAACTAGTAGTAGCAAAGTCCCTTCTCTCCTACCCCAAGCAATTCAGCTCCTGCTGCAAATCTGCCACGTGTCTTGGCAATACAGAAGCCCTGTGGTTAAGGGAGCCCTTCAGCAGCTGCCAGGAGGAAGTTTCTCCCAGGCATGCTGCCCCTTGGGGTCTGAACCTGAAACCCATGGGAAGTACCTAAGAATTTCTCCAACCTCACTCACTATTCTCCCAGTGCTAACCCCCTACCTCCCTGCTGCACCCCCCTCCCTCAACATCTATTCTCAGTGACTTCTGTGCCCTTGGGAAGTGGTTACCCAGTCCTCCTTAATCAGCCTGCTCTACAACAGCTCAGCTACTGAGAAATGGCCATGTGACTTTCCAGGCACAGACAGCACGTCCTGTAAAGCCACTACATGGTGAAGGGTGGAGTGTGGAGGGCCAGGCCTGGGACAGAGGTAACCACAGGGCCACTAAAAAAGGACCAGGGTCATTTACAAGAATAAACTTGCTCCCCTGGCATAGCCCCCTTAAGTGCTGCAGCCCTTGACCTTGGAAGCCAAAGGAAGTTGTTTTGGTCCCTAGGAAACTTCATTGACCTCGGAGCAAAGTCCTTTGATTGCATCTGAGAAAGCCAATTGAGCACTATCTTCTCAAATGGAGGGAGCCTCTTCCTTCCCTCCCTGGGCCCTCAGCCAGCCCTCCTCCTGGTGCCGGCATGCCTCTGGGGTTTACCTTCACAGCCACAAGCATCTTGTCCTTGGTCGGGCTGAGGTTGTAGCACTCGGCCAGGAAGACCTTTCCAAAGGCTCCCTCACCCAGTTCTCGCTTCAGCACGATGTCTCTCCTCTTAATGTGCTGCACATCTGTAGGATGGGGACAAAGAGGAGGGCAGCAAATCAGTCCTCGTTTGGTGACACAGGGAGACAGAAGAGTACAGAGGTCTAGCGTGGAGAACTTGGTTCTGAGCCTACAGCAGGCAAAGGCAAACTCTAGCACACCAGCTTTAGCATAAAAACTGACATCCCTCTGTGGTTTGAGAGTATGGGCCAGAATCAAATCTCAATGCTGTCCCTGAACAACTCCTAACCCCTCTAAACCACAACATCCTCTGCTGGCAAATGGAGTTAGTAGTTAATGCACAGGATTCTGGTATTCATTAGCCAGAGTTGTTGGAGATAGCACAAAGCAGTCTCCACAGTTTTGTGCACATGAATCCCCTGGGAATCTTGTCAAAATGAAGATTCTAATCCAGTGGGTCTGAGAATCTACATTTCTAACAAACTCCCAGGTCATGTCCCTCTGCTGTTGGTCATACTTTGAAAAGCAAATTTTCCAGGGTACGATTGAGAATCAGGTTGGAATCCTGGGTCCACGCCATTACTAGTTTTTTGAGCTTGGGAAAGTTATTTAGCTCCAGAGCCTCAACTTCCTCATCTGTAAAATGGGATTAACAAGAACAACTTCCTTGCTGAATTCTTGTGAAGATTAAATGAGATAATCCATATAAAGAGCTTGGCCCAGTGATGAGGACAAAGTAAAGACGTAGAAGACAAGACACACGCATGCACACACACATACACATACACACACACACACACACACACACAAAGACACATTGGTTTTTGTGGTAACATAAAGGCTGTAGTGACCCCATCACAGTGCCTGGTTCATGACAGAGACTACTAACGGGTAGCTAAGATTATCTGGGGGAAACCCCTACTTGGCCAACCCTTCTCTGAAAGAGAGAAAGACCAATGAGATCACAAAAGGAAAGTTCACTGTCCATCCAAGAACGAGGGTGTGTGCAGAGAGAAGGGTTGCCCCTGCCTCTGCTAATTTAGCAACCTAATTAAGGTCTGTGTGCCTGGAGAAAGCAGAGCTGTGACCTCAGCCCTCCCACCTATTTGGAAAGAATGCTACGAAGGAGTTGTACAAGCAGTGGGCTGGCGATGAAAAGAGCAAACAGGAGATTACTCACTGACCTTTACATTAATTGTTCAACAGGCAGAAGCCCATTAAATACCTGTATTCACATTTTGAAGAGCATTGCTGAGCCAAAAAGTGGATTATCCCAAGCGACTTTGTCGAGAAATGAAAGCTGCAGATCCTGGGCCATGGCAGACCATCCCCATAAATGAGGAGACGTAATAGGGACAGAGGGGCATGGCTGGAAGCCTTGGGGTAGTGTTTTTTTGGTTTGGGGATTCCTTTAAGAATAAACTACAGGAATCTTTTTCCTCCCTTCAGAGTCCTTGGTATCCCCACAGTGTCGCAGATGATCTGCCTAGTAAGGATTTGCGAGAGGAAGCATTTACAGACTATTATTTTCTCCTCCCCCTAGGACAGACCTGCACGTTAACAGCTGCTGACGACCGCTCCTCCCAAGCCACAGGCTGCAATGCGGCTGCTACACACTGCAGGGCTATGCCCCAGTCTTTACAGGGAGGGGATTAAAACTGGTTCCCTTCTTCACACTTTCTGTCTCTGTTTCTCAGCCTCTGAGGAATGGTATTTGTTGACCTTGGAGGGCAAGGCTAAAGAGTCTCCCACTGCGAGAAAATAGGAAGTCAGGCCCTCTCTCGGGAGGCCACCTGCTCCTGCTACCTAATCATTCCCAGGTGACTAGGGATGACACATAGGTTCTGCAAGGTGAGTGTCCTGGCACGGCCTGGGAGTGAAGACAGGGCTCACGATGGCAGCTGTACAATGTCAAGCCCACATCTCTGAACACGCCGGGATTGGGAAGGCCTGGGAAGCCACAGGTGCTTGCTTCAAGACCTGGATCCTCCAAGAGCTTATGCACCTCACAGAAAAACAACAACCATGAAATCTTGGGTCTCAGATTTCTCACCTGTAAAATGGGTATGGGGAGAATAGTACGAGTTTAACTTACCTATTACCTGAGCATGGAAGTTTGTAAACCTTTAAGTCCTCCAAAATGTAGGCTGTGTTTTGGCATTTTCATTATTATTGATATTATTTTACAAAAAGGAGAAATGAGGGCCAAATCAGGCATCCGCACCTGGTGACTGAGCTGGGCATGGGATTCAGAGCATCAGGACATGGCAGGGTTGCCAAGTTACTTGGGGAAGAGCACCGTTTGGCCCCAGACTCCACCCCAATCCCACCTTTCCTCTGCATTGTAATAGGAGAACTTGAGAATGCGTCAAAATCACCTAGACGGCTTGTTACAACAGATTGCTGGGCTCCTCCACCAGGGATTCCAATCTAGTAGGTCCAGGTTGAGGCCTGAAAATATGCATTTCTAAGTTCCCAGGTGCTGCTGGTGCAGGAACCACACTTTGAGAATCACCAGAACACGGCTTCTTTGGTGGGGTGGGAAATTAGCCAGCTGAAGAAGTTTACCTTTACAACTTGGCCTAAACAAGTACCATGCTCACAAACAGTTTAGCCATGCCTCACTTCCAGAAGCCCAGGAGAAGGTGAGACGTCCTGGGCTTAGCTCAAAGGTCCTCCTTCCCTCCTTAGCTGTGTGGCCTAGATTGAGTCAAGTCCCTTCTCAGAGGCCCAACTACCCATCCATGCAGTGCAGATCATGCCTCTCTTGCCTTCTTATGTTCTAGAAACATCTCTACAAAAGGCAAAACAATATAGATTTTCCTGGGTCCCTAAGTACAACTCTGGGCTGGGAGACCTCACCAGCTCCACTCAGAACACTCACTCCCAGCTACAATTAGTGCAAAATGGGAATGGAGGAACTTTAAAGAGAACCAGACTCTGTTTTTCAGCTGCTGTGCCTCGGTCACATCTTGGAATCCATCCTTCTCCTCTCCTTCCCTCGGCAGCAAGAATCACAACCCCTGAGAGATTCAGACAAGCCAAGTGGGAGCAGCATCCAGGGAGTGGTTTCTCAGCCCTCCCTCAACATCCCAGAAGAGCCTGGCAGCAGCTGCAAACCCCTGGTTGCAGGAGTGGGGAAGCTGTGACAGCTGTGAGCCTTGAAGGTAGCAGAGGGCAAGTGACCATATTACTGGAAGCTCATCTGCTCTCTGTGAGCACATGAAAAAGCCCAAGCAGAAGCCTCCGTGGGCCAAAGTGTCTTCCCCAAATGTGCAAATGGAACTTTTTCCAGAATGTGGAAATACTCAGGTGCTCAGAAGAAAATAGCCTTGGCTCATTCTTGTTGTCTTCAGGGTGAAAGAATTCTGACACCAATACCTGTCCTTAGCCCTGGGTAGGGTGGTGAGTGCTGGGAAGGAGCTGAAGGAGGAATGGGAAATAAGCACAGATTTTATTCGACCATAAATTCTCCTCCAGGAAAGGACTGGTTCCTCATCATGAGGATAAGAAGCTCCACAAGGTAACCAGGGAGCTTTGGCAGAGACTGGCTGGATTTGGGCCAAACACATAAGGCAAATCACTTCCATGTGGACAACCCCATGCATCAACAAGACTGGAGACTCCAGAATACCATATGAGCAGCTTCTTTCACTGAACTTACCGAGGAAACAGTAGGGCAAAGGGAATTAACTTGCACGCTATGTATTCAACACCTACTGTGTGTTCAACACTTGATTCTCATCATAATCCTGAGAGACTGAGAGATAAGTGTTATTACACCCCTTTCACAGGTGAGAAAACAGAGGCAGGGGGTAACTTGCCAAATTCACAGAGGTAAAATGAGGCCAAAGAAGGACTCTCTTGTTTATGACTCCGAAACCCGTGTTCTTTCCTTTACCTTAGGCTGCCTTCGCTCTGTCTTCCCAGCTTTACGGCCACTAAAATGATCCAGTTCACAGAGGCTTAACCCTCCATCTTCCACTACTCAACTTTCCCTCACTCTGCTCATCCTGGAATTCTATGACAGCATCTTCCCAAGGGCGAGGGCAGGAGCCCCCGCTGGAAGCCTTACAGAACAGACAAAGCCCTGGGGAGAAGAGTGTATCTGGGGACAGAGTGCGGGAGGAAGAGCCTCTGCTCAGGCCCTGGGGAATGACTGGAGTGAGCCGTTTCACTTCTGACGTCCACGCGTCTATTTGGGTCCCTGCTTCTGCATGCTTTTAGCTCACACAGTGCTGTTCAGAGCTGCCTCTGGTGAAGCTATCTGAACTACAGGCCAAAAAGTGATGGATTTTCCTAAGAGGAGAGGGCATCAATCTCCTTTTACTGCCTGGCTGGCTGGCCCAGCAGAGTCTGGGTCACAAGGCTCAGACATGGAGACACTGGAAGGGGAGGCAGGGAGGGGGATGAATACCCCAGGCCGTGGGAAGACCTCCCAATCTCCAACAAAAAAGGGGCTGCTGGAGAAAGCAGGAGGCTGCTATGTAATGGGAAGGGTTCTTTGGAAAATTAAAAGAGTTCCTGGGACCTTCTGGCCTGGCTTTTCCCTAATTCCTTTTTGTGAGACAGCCACCAACTGGGTTCCACCAGAGGAAGCCACCTGTAGATCTTCTTGTTCCCACAGGACAACCGGTTCATCTGACACAAGAACAGAAACAAGATTTCTGTGTTTTAGTGGCTGCTCCAAGAATTCTTTCTCTGTAGTGGGGACCAAGATAACTATTCCATATGTGTGGGATTCACTTCTGGGAGGTCTTCCAGCCTGCAGCAAGCGTGACCTAGAGCAGAATCTCTAATCCATTGAGGTAACTGGTCACCTCTGGACAGAAAATCTCAGAGCCCTGAGAGGTCAGTGGGCAGGCAGGGGTTATCCCTCATCCTACCTCTGTTCCCCTTGGCTGCCCTGTGGGGCAGGAGGGGAGGTATACACAGAGCCGCTGGATACACTGACATCGCTGGACACAGAGGTGACCACTGTCAGCTTCACCTCCCTGTTCTGGGAGAATGAGGGCAGGGAGGTGGCAGGCATAAACTGCTCAGCCCTGCGACCAGGGAGGAAGAGGGAACAAAAAATCTGCCCCAAATGGCACTGCTGAAAGAGTGAAGACTGGGAAAAAAAAAAAAAAAAAAAAAAAAAACAGATCTCTATTGAAATCCTGACCCTCTTACTTACTAATTGAATCCTATCCTCTCCACACCTCTAGTTCCTTATCTGTAGAATGGGAACATGGATGTTGACTTGGCAGAACTGTTCAGAGGATGATTTAAAATTTTTAGATAATAAAGATGATATAAAATATCTAAAATATATTAGACATTTAACAGATGTTTTTCTTTCCTTTCCAATTTTCATTTCAACTAGGAGCTCAATACCTATCTTGCAAATAAAATCGTGGCTTGAAAAGAAATGTGGAGAAGGATGATGATTTTCTCCTAAAATAAAATGGCACGAGCTTGCCCAGGAGTAAGCTGGCCCTGGCTCAGAGGTCACCAGCTCTGTCTACGGCTGCCACCACCATGCCTGACCTCCTCCTCCTTCAGAGGCCAAAACAGTTTGCGGGAGGAGGTTGGTCAGACAGTGGAATAAAGACATCAAAAGGCAGAGACAGCCACCAACTCAAGATTGGCATTGATCAGTAGAGAGAAACCCGATTTCCCAGGGTCGGTGGTTATAAATAACAGTTATCCTGCTGTATGCCAAGCAGCAAATTCGGTCCCCAAAGGTGAGTGTGTGCACTCAGTCACACTCAGATTGCCTTAAAAGAAACTTGTTTGCTACCTCGGTGCTTTGGCTAATTATTGTCTTGGGGACCACGTGTGTGGACAGGACTGAGACAGTCCTTCTCTGAAGGTGTTGACTTAAGAGGCTCAGAAGCAGTCCCCTGCCACCACCAGCAGCCCTGAGGGCTGGCCCCTGGTGGCAGCTCCTAACCATCCTGCCCTCCCCTCTTCCCTGGCTCATGTTGATACTCAGTTCCTAACTAGTTCCTGTCCTCATCACTGAGACCTCACAGATCTTTCCCTTGTGGATTCCATCTCGCTCTGCACTGCTCCTTTAGCTCGTTGTTATCCCTCTGTGCCCTTATTAATAATAAAAATAACTGCCATCAATTGAGCACTTATCCTGAGCCAGATACCAGGCTGAGCACATGATACCTTTACAGCTCTGTCTTTCGTGGGTTCTTTTTTTTTTTTTTTTTTTTTTTTTGAGATGGAATCTCGCTCTATCGCCCAGGCTGGAGTGCAATGGCGCAATCTGGGCTCACTGCAACCTCCGCCACACAAGTTCAAGCAATTCTGCCTCAGACTCCCGAGTATCTGGGATTTCAGGTGCGTGCCACCACACCTGGTGAATTTTTGTACTTTTAGTAGAGATGGCATTTCACCATGTTGGCCAGGCTGGTCTCAAACTCCCGACCTCAGGTAATTCACCTGCCTCAGCCTCCCAAAGTGCTAGGATTACAGGCATCAGCCACCGTGCCCGGCCCTACAAGTCTCTTAAACACAATATGTTGCTGTCCCCGTGCTACAGATGAGGGGGCTGAAGCTCCAGGTGGTTACGTAACTTGCCCAAGATCCCCTAGCTGTTAGAGGTGTCCTGTGGGACTCTAAAGGCTGGGCTGAGCAGACTGTGCCACCTTGACATCCTTTAATCATGACAGCCCCCTTCAACCCCTGCAACCCCTACTTCAGAGAGAGGCTCTGCTTTCTGCACTGGCATCAGTACTTGGTAGAAACCAATAACATCTGTAAAGAGAGAGTGTGTCACTTTATCCTGGAACCTATTCTTCCTACCCTTGATTGCCACCACCTAAGCTCAATGTGAGCCACCAGGATGACATTTGAAGATAAAGCCAGCACCAGAATGCAGAAACCCAAGACCTTGCTGCCCCACCCAGAAACAGAGTTTCCAGGACCTCAGGCTCACCCATTACAAGGTGAGTCCTGAGCGTGACTACACGCAGGAGGGAGGAGGGAGGAGGGAGATTCTTGGCAGGAGAGAAGGGGGAAGAGAAAACAGGGAGAGGAAGGGAGGATCTGTGAGAAGCGTGTGTTTTCTCTGCACTAACCAGACCCTAGGGTCTCTGGCTGCCAAAAAGGCTCAGAAGAAAACATTAATTCAATACCACATATTTAATTACACATGAAATGGAATGTCTTTAAATGGAAAAGAATAACATTCTGGGAGCTCCAACTCTGGGTGTTTGAAGTGGCAGGAGGGAGAAAGAGGGCCAGCTTTGAACCTTTGAGGGGGAAGGAGACCACCAAGAGGGCAGGGCCCTGCCTGGGCTCAAGATATAAATTTCTGCCAGCCCTCAAAGAACTGCCCTCACACTTTCTCCTGGCCTCCTGGCTGGGTCTCACCTCACGCCTTCTATGAATGGCAAGCAAGAGGAGCTAATTGCATAAGGTATTGCATAAGAGCATAGCCAGACAAACATGTGCCCTGGCCAGCTACAGGCCCTTTGTAGGGGTCTCCAGCCAACCCAGTCAGTTCTCCACCTGGACAGAAGAGTAGAGCATGGCTAAACTATTCAAACCACCACTCCTGCAGAGCCATCCCTGGATGATTTATAGACTAGGAGAAAAAAGAGGATCTCCTGGTTTCCTGTAAAGGACCTTTCTAAGAGAAGACATTTTGAAGGCTGGAGATCTAAGACAAAAACTCTGCAGAATTTTTTTAGAGGTCTAGAATTTAAAAATTAGTAATCAAGGCCAGGTGCGGTGGCTCACGCCTGTAATCCCAGCACTTTGGGAGGCCGAGGTGGGTGGATCACTTGAGGTCAGGAGTTCAAGACCAGCCTGGCCAACATGGCGAAACCCCATCTCTGCTAAAAATACAAAAATTATCCGCACTCAGTGCCATGTGCTTATAATCCCAGCTACTTGGGAAGCTGAAGCAGGAGAATCGCTTGAACCTGGGAGGCGGAGATTGTGGTGAGCTGATATTGCGCCACTGCACTCCAGCCTGGGCGACAGAGCAAGACTCTGTCTCAAAAATAAATAAATAAAATAAAAAATAAAAATGATTAGTCAAATGGGGTAACAATGACTTGGGAATGGATTCCAGGTTGAATGACCACCAGCCCTGATTGTTCCTGTTGCTGCCCTGGGACCAGGTTGGCTCAGGATTTTTTACCTAAGAATAAGAACCTGGATCTTTCTGCTGGCCAGTCCATGCCTCGTCCCTAGGCCTTCTCTGGATTAGGGCTTCCCTCACACATTCTTTTCAGAGTTTGACATTTTTACAAAGAGGCTTTGAAGGGTGCTGGCAGTTGCACAAGTCAAAAGGCCAAAAGTCAAAAGGCATGTGTTGCTCAAGTTCGTAGGCTGGGCCTAGCACAGGGCCTGAGACCAAGTAGGTACCCACTAACTATATGATGAATGGGCAAATAAATTAAAACTCCCCCTGAAGCACTGCTAGAGACTTTAGCAGGGAAAACACTGCAAAGAGGGAGGAAGAAGGGAATCTGGGGGAGTGGCAAAAAGAAAGGAAAGATGAGTGAGAATGGGAAAAGAGCCAGGAAGTTCCTAAGAACAGACTTATTTATGTCCTGGCTCCGAGAATGGCCCGAGGAACCAAGATCGTATTGAACCAGGAAAGTACTGAGACCCACATCCTAACCCTCAGTCTCCGGCTCCCCAGACTTCTAAACAAAGTGCCTCCGTGGTCAGCTCTGAAGAAGCTCAGCAAACAGCAGGTCCCACTCTGGGGCACGTGTGCACCCTTAGGCTAGAGGTAGCAGTCTAGGACACCGAGACACTGTGTTCCCACCAAGATGAACATATAAATAAGACACCCTGCTGTTTCTGGAAGCAGTGAAGAGAGAGGATCAGCAGAGGACTGTCTGTTCTGGGGCAATTTCCAGTTCACATTTCCTGACACAAGAAGTTCAGAAGCTGAGGCTGAAGTTCAGAAGTGTCCCTGCTCCCCAGTGCTACCCCACCATGCTCCACCGCCATGAGCTCAGACACCAACCAACACCCAGGCTCCCAACATCAGCCTCCCTACCACAGTACGCCTGCCCTTTCATACCCACTTCCTGGTCTCTATATTCTGTTGGCCTTTCCCGTGGCAAGAGTGCCTCTGGCTCTCATTAAGCAGTGACTGCTTGAGCCAAGAATAAAGAGAAAAAGAACTCCCCAAGGAGAGCCATCTGGAATTGTGAAGTTAGGTGCTGAAAGATGAATCTCAGGCTCCGACTGAGAATGTGTCCCTCTGACAACTTGCTGGGCCCCCTCCTTCCTCTGCCTCTTCTGGCCTGACAGTGACAAACCCTCTTCAAAGTGCCCATATGAGGGTCACATCCCACCTCTCAATCTCCCCAGAGGCCCTTCCTTTCCAGCTACTACCCAGGAATGCTGCCTTGGCCTCTCATTCCTGGCATCTGGCTCTGTCCCCCAAGCCGTCCCTGTGATGTCATGTTCTCACCAGAACACGCAGAGCACAATGTGCTAAAGGCTGTCCCTTCCAGCACCAGAATTCTGGGCCAAGACATAGGTTGCAGGGCACTGGAGCCATGAGATGCAGCTCCATGATGAAAGTCTTGAGGTCAGGAAGAGAAACACCTGTGAGGACCACAGGGTGAACCGTAGAAGGGGAGACCAGAGGATCCCAGTCACCCATTTGCAGGACACACCATTGACCTTGACAGCTACCTACAACCATGGGTCCAAGATAAAACTGAGCTGCTTCAGGCAGAATAAGGAGAAAGAGCATCATTTGGTCTATAAAAGAGAGGCAGCAGCACCCCCCAAAATACAACAGACACGAAGAAAAGAAGAAAGGACAGGAAGGGGACCTTGGGAGCAAACACCAGGATCAGAGTAAGGGGACTGAGAAAGAACATGGCTTTGGAATGAGACAGAACTGGGTATAAATTCACACTCAAGGACACATCCTCAGAGGCCGCATTTGGCAATTTACTAAACCAGTCTCAAATGTTGTTTTCATGAGCGAAATTAAGAAAATATCCACCTCATTGACTTGCCATGAGGATTCAGTGAAATCATGTGTACAGTCGTACATTTGGAGCGTGTCGAAGGAGCTAATGCCCATAAAAGTTCGGGAAGGAATATGCCAATTTCTTCCTCTCACCTGCTCTCTGCTCAAACCTGCAAGGATTCTCCCTTATTATTGTTACGGTTATTATTAAAGTGCTTACTGCATGGAGTTTTGATATCTTTAAATGAAGAGATTAAGTGTTTAAAACAGTTGGGAGGCACACAGTAGGTGCTCAATAGGCCTTAACATAGAGTATCCATGTCTTCAGGACAGTTTTTAGTCTGATATTTGAGAATTCTGATAACCTGGCCCAAATCCCCAGGCTTTATCCTCATAAATGCATTAAATAGATCCAACAGATGGACAGGCTGGCCATCCACTGTCCTCTGAGCAACCATGTGAGCTCGTGCTGTGCATCTGTGTCCTAGCTTTCCTCCATCTGGGGTACCCGTCCCCACTTCCACTAGTAGAAATCAACCCAATCCCCAACACGGGAAATAATCCTGTGTTATCCGTAAGATCATTTCCTGATCTTCTCTTTCTCTCCTCAGAATGTCTATTCCTTATGCAAAAATAGGTGTCCTAGGACCATCTCTGCTTATTTTGTTGCCCCCTACATAAGCTCACCTCCTGGGCAGCTCAGAGGAAACCAGTTCAAAACAACCTTGCTGCCTGACTAGAGAGAGTAAGTGGTGTTGGCAAAGACCAGCATTCAATTTTTATGTGATAGGATTTAGTTATACTAAGGCATAAAATTCCAGTTCATTTGTGGACATGGGCCGAGCCCTTAGACTTCCTACATTCACCAGGTTCCAGAAGAAAAGCTTGCTGGCCTGAAGAAGTCTGCTTACCCTCATTCTTTCCCCCAGCAATGAACTTACTGATGGAAAGGATTTTAGTTAATGCACAAAGGACCCTAGGAAATGAACAGGTCACCCAGTGAGTCCTTCCACAGAGACTTGGGAGGCCTTTCTGTGGAAAAGCCTAACTTTACTCTTGCTTAAAGCAGAAGGCTCAGACACCAGAGAGAAGGTGATGCCCTGCTTCTGAAGGAAATGGAAGGCAGGCCCGAAGTCCACGGAAATGTAGAAACTAGAATCCCCATGTGGGGTCCTTAACCCTAAGGGTCTTTCTTCAAGAAAGACTTGGCCGGGTGTGGTGGCTCACACCTGTAATCCCAGCACTTTGGGAGGCTGAGGCAGATAGATCACCTGAGGTCAGGAGTTTGAGACCAGCCTGGCCAATATAGTGAAAGCAAGTTTCCACTAAAAAAACAAAAATTAGCCAGGCGTGATGGCACGCACCTGTAATCCTAGCTACTCGGGAAGCTGAGGTGGGAGAATCGCTTGAACTTGGGAGGCAGAGGTTGCAGTCAGCCGAGATGGCGCCACCGCACTCCAGGCTGGGCAACAGAGCAAGATTCCATTTCAAAAGAAAGAAAAGAAAAGAAAAGAAGGAGAAAGAAAGAAGAAAGAAAAGAAGGAGAAAGAAAGAAGAAAGGAAAGAAAGAAAGAAGAAAAGAAAAGAGAAAGAAAAGAAAAGAAAAAGAAAGAAAGAGAAAGAAAAGAAGGAAGGAAAGAAAGAAAGAAAAGAAAGACTCCTCTTTCCTCTTCTTCCTAACGTGCTTAAAATCCAGTCTAGTCGTGAGCTCCTAGGACACACACGTGCCCCCCATGAAAGGGCTCTTGCCCTTGCACAGCAGGGAAGCTCTGTTGGGCTGCTCTGGTTGCCCCATTGGGGCTTCCTGTCTTCCCTCAGGTGTGCAGTGGAGCGCTGGTGATCAGCCTCTCTGCGAACCCCCACCTCCTCTCCCTGCCCCGGGGACAGACAGCTCCCCGTCCCTCCGTAACTCAGCCCAGCTCCCACAGGCTTCCTCTGGAGCCCTTGGTGACACAAAGTTATCTTGGCCGCCGGCTCACCCTGTGCGCACTCCATTATTCCCGGCACCATCTCCTTCCGCGTGACCTCTGCATTTGGACACCGTTTCCATCAGACTCTTTTGGAAGTCTCTGAAGCCCACCCTCCGCAGACTGAGGAGACTGTCCGGGAGTCCCGAGAGGTCACGCTGGGCCCCTTTCAAGGTATATGTTCCCATTCCCCACTCCCACTCCCGGAGCCAGGGCTTCTGCCAGGCACCCCCGCCTTTCCTGCCCTACCCCCGCCGCCCCCTCTAAGCCTCTCGCTCTGGCCCTCACCCTGTATCTGATGGGGAACAAGGTCGGAGGCCAGGGCCTGCGAGTCCCAGCCACGCCGGCCCTCCGCGTGGGCAGCCACAGCTCAGCGCAGCCAGCAGATTCGTTCCGCAAGGCCTCCGCGATCCTGGATCCATGCTTCCCCCTGTCGAAGCCCACTCACTCTGCCAGGTGTTTTCCCACCACATCCTCTGAGCTGACTTCCAAGAGTTTCCCCCACACCAGATGTTAAACGCACTGGCCGGTGGTTTTCTGGCCTGTCTCCTGAACCTCTCCCACCCTACAATTCTATAGAAAACAACAAAAGAAAACCAAAGAAAAAGAACTGGTGGAATTACAAGCGCCCCTATCTGACCCCTGGAATCCCTCCCCTGGCTTGGGGGTCTTGGATCAGGTCCATGTGTGTTCACCAAGCTCCGAGTTTGCTGCCTCTCGGGCACTAGCTAAAGTCATCAGCAAACACTTACATGGATGGTGCTTTGGACCAGAAGACGATTCTTTATCGTTTTCCTGGTACTGACAGAAACTGAGTCACATAGAGAAGTGTGAGGTTTCAATGATGTCAATGTTATTTGTTCTTACTAGTCTCTGGGAAGATCCCAGACATTGGAGGTCAAGTGGTTTCTGGGACTGACGGTCAGTGGAAAATAGAGAAGGGAGAAATCTTCACTGAATATCACTAGACCTGTGCAGCTAATGAATGGCCACCTCTTATTGATAGGCCTGGACCTCTTTGGGTGGCCCCAGAAGAACCAAGGTGAGGTCTCTGGGGCATCAGCCTCAGGAACCCACATCAAACACACTCAGGAGCCCCAAAAGGAGCCATCCTTCTATGCTCTGCAGAAGGACCCCAACTCCCCTTTCTTATCAGCCTGGCGGACATTTCCTCTCTGCTTTTTCAGAAGAGATTGCTGCTTCATATGGTGACATCTACACATTGTCTGCAGGCTGTGGCCTCCTTGGGAATAGACCACTCCACTTTCTCTGCTTTCCCTGGGAACGAGTTCTTTCTAGCCCCCTTGCCCATCTGCCCCTCCTCCGTGCGGGTTATCGACCTCCATTGCCAGCCTGTTCTTTGCTGCCTTCTGCAGCTGCTCTGCTCCTGCCAGACCTTTTCAGTGTGTGTGTGTGTGTGTGTGTGTGTGTGTGTGTGTGTGTGTGTGTGTGTGTATGCTTTTTTTCTCTGAAATAGATCTTTATTGTAGGCTCTGTGGGCAGATGTGAATGACTCCTTGAGCCTCCACTGTGCAGGGTTCAGGCAAGGCCCACGGCCTGGGTTGCCATCCCTCTCCTGCCAGCTCTCCGAGAGGCCAGCCCTTGGGCTCTCTTTGTACAGTCCTACAAATTCCAACTAGGGGATATATGTGAGATGAGATGTTTCCCACACCAGCTCTTTACCCTAGAAACTAGCCCTTTCCCTCTATGTCTCCTCTCTAAGTACTTACTCATTTTCCCACTTTCAGTACAAAAAGTATGGAGGCTGAATGACCAGACAGCTATACCTCCTGCCTCCTGCAGATGTGTTTTGTGTCAATTACACATGGATATTCTCCTGTATAATTTCCCCTTATCTGTGAGATTTTGGAGCAAACATATATGAATCTCCGATTACTCCAGGTCATGACTTAGGCAGAATGAGTTAGGAAATCCAAGTTATAAAATCAGGAAGGAATTAAATATTTGGATGGAAGACCAGTCATAGGAAAAAAAAATATTATCTGCAACAGAGCAAAACCACTTGATAAATGTTTCATTGAAGAGACTTCCCCCAGAAAAGTTTCTAGCTGGCCAGGGTTTGGGAAATGGAATTTGCTGTTCAGTGCCCATGGTTACTAATTTAACATGTGTGAAAAACCATGTCATCTTTTCACCTGCTGTGCTGTCTACACTGTTTTCATCTAGTGGATGCTAAAAATAAACAGATCAATAAATAAAATCATCTATAAGTGCACCCATAAATTCCCTGACAGCCACAGCGTCTGTCTTTTTTAGTAAGTCCTTTCATTTCTCATGCACAAGTAGCACAATTCTTTGGCCATAGATTTCCCAGGAGTGTGGTAAGGAGGAGTGTGAACTATGAGACTGGGCATTCCCAGCTCTGCTACTAACTAGCTATGTGACACCAGACATCTTACTCAACCTCTCTGACATGACATTGCATTTGGGAAGTGTGATCTACTGCTAACATTTGTAAGCAAATGAGTTAATATTCATCTGTAAATCCCTTAGCATAGTATCAGGCATGGAGTGCATGCTAAAAATAAGATTCATTTCTGCTCTGTTACCCGAGGCTGCTCAGTTTGAGCTGCCTTGTGCCCGTGGACACAGAGACGAGTATAAATTCAAAGGTCCTCCCTCCTTTAATAACACACCTACTCCACCTGCCCACCTGAAGCAGGAATTTGTCTGCAGAAGTTCTGCCTGCCACTTTGAGCTATAGAGAACTCTGACTGCCCTAGGCCATAGGTGTTTAACTGGGGCCTTTGCTCAGCTTACAGAGGCTGTTTGTTATCTGCTGCACGCTACAGAGGGTCAGGAGATTTGGGGACACGGCATGGCTCAGGGAACCTGGAGGGCAGCCGACAACAAATGATAAACTCACAGCAGGTGGAAGGCACACAGAGTGACCTTGCTGAGTGCCGTTCACATTGGCATAGAGAACCCTACGAGGGGTTGAATGGGACTGCAGCGAGTTAGTAGCTCTGTGCTTGGGTCTTAACTGAGAAGAGGATGAAGAGAGCTGGAAATGTTCACCTACACCAACGCCTCTGAGTAACCCTTGCTCCAAACTTGCCAACAGGCACGACCATTGGCCCCATTCCAGCCCCCTGCCTAGTGGTACTGGGCAGAAAAGAGGCCAGTTCAACAAAGGAGATCGTTGTTGACGGTGATGGAAACCAAGGTGCCAACCAGGGCTCTCCCACTTATTTGCTGAGGGGTCACATGTTGGTTCAATCCTTTTCATATTCAACAAATATGCATTAAACTTTATAGTGTGTGTCAGGAACTGGGCTAGGGTCTCCAGCAGGGAATAAGAGACTCTTCTCGTCCTCCTGGAGCTCATCGGTATAGAGAAGAGGATAGATGAGTCACCCAGGAAATTTGAATACATTGTAATAAGCCCCGTGGTGGGACAAGGAGAGGACCCTGGGGTACTGGGAAGGTGTGTGTATCTAGATCTGGAGGGGTCAGGATAGACTACCTACTCTCCCTGGGCCTCCATTTCTTTGTGTATAAATGGGAGAATATATGGAAAAATGACTTGCAAGCAACAGTCAGATGGAAACTGATTTTTCATCTTCCAACAATAGCCATAAAAATTTAAAAGTGCCCAAATAACATACTGCAAGTTACTCCAGGTACGTACAAAGTGGGCTGTTCTGGTTTTTGTTGTTGTTGTTGTTTGAGACAGAGTCACTCTGTCACCCAGGCTGGAATGCAATGGCACAATCTCGGCTCACTGAACCTTTGCCTCCCAGGTTCAAGCGTTTCTCCTGCCTCAGCCTCCTGAGTAGCTGAGATTACAGGCACGTGCCACCA